>NC_000017.11:9278989-9430504 GCF_000001405.40 Homo sapiens
CTAATCCCCATCATCACACTGTAAACTGGTGTTACTATTATTGTCATTATTATTCTGTGTGTGTGTTTTTTGTTTTTTGTTTTTTTTTTTTGAGATGGGGTTTCACTCTTGTTGCCCAGGCTGGAGTTCAGTGGCACAATCTCGGCTCATTGCAACCTCCCGGGTTCAAGCAATTTTCCTGCCTCAGCCTCCCAAGTATTTGGGATTACAGGCACCCGCCACCACGCCTGGCTAATTTTGTATTTTTAGTAGAGACAGGGTTTCACCATGTTGGCCAGGCTGGTCTCGAACTCCTGACCTCAGGTGATCCACCCACCTCGAATTCCTTACCTCAGGTGATCCACCCACCTTAGCCTCCCAGTGTTGGGATTATAGGCGTGAGCCACTACAGCTGGCCATCATCATTATTATTAATGAACCT
Organism: Homo sapiens; assembly: GCF_000001405.40. NCBI lineage: Eukaryota > Metazoa > Chordata > Mammalia > Primates > Hominidae > Homo > Homo sapiens. The sequence continues at coordinate 9,279,411 of NC_000017.11, forward strand.
GACGCTCAGAAGCATTAAGCAATTTACCTAAGGTTTCAGAGCTTTTCAGTGTTGGGCCTGGGATTTGAACCCAGCTTTGACTAAGTTTATCATCAGAGTTGACTAACTCGAACATATAGTCATAACAATAAAGTTAAGGTTGTACAGAAGTAGAAAAAGACCTAAGATACCAGTAACACAGCTTCCAAACCATCTTCTCTGCTTTCACAGCCAGGTGCCCAGCTCTAGACTAGACTATGATGGACTTCTCACTGTCTTCCCTGCTACAGAACATCCCCAGAAGCAACAGGTCTCCCTCATGCTGCCAACAACAACCCTCTTCTTCACTGTGACAAGCCTGACCCCATCTGTTTTTTGGTTTTCCTCTTCAAGAACTGCAGGAGACAAAATTATTATTTGCAGATAATGAGAACACCTAACGTGGAAATAACAAAATAATCCACAGAAAACCCTTTTGAACTAAAGAAAAAAGGATAGCTTAAAATACATCAATAGATTCCAACTCCTTTCTCATAAGGCAGTTAAAATCAATCAGAAAATATAACAGGGTGTGATGGCTTACATCTGTAATCCCAGCACTTCGGTGGATCACTTGAGCCCAGGCATTTGAGACCAGCCTGGGCAACACAGTGAAACCTCATTTCTATAAAAAATACAAAAATCAGCCAGGCGTGGTGGTGCACGCCTCTAGTCCCAGCTACTGCGAGGCAGGGGTGGGAGAATTGCTCGAGCCTGGCTGGTCAAGGCAGCAGTGAGCTGAGATCATGCCACTGCACTCCAGCGTAGGAGACACAGTGAGTAAGATCCTATCTCAAAAAAAAGAAAAAAAGAAAATCAATGAAAAAAGTGTATTAATAACTGATGAACGGCCGGGCACAGTGGCTCACGCCTGTAATCCCAGATCTTTGGGAGACCAAGGCGGGTGGATCACTTAAAGTCAGGAGACCAGCCTGACTGACATCGTCAAACCCCGTTGCTATTAAAACTACAAAATTAGCCGGGTGTGGTGGCGGGCGCCTGTAATCCCAGCTACTTGGGAGGCTGAGACAGGAGAATTACTTGAACCTGGGAGGCTGAGGTTGCAGTGAGCCAAGATCGCACCATTGCGCTCCAGCTGGGGAAACAAGAGCAAAACTCCATCTCAAAAAAGAAACAAAATTTTAAAAACTAATGAACAGAGAACAAAGGAATGAACAAAAATGGACAGAACGACTTTTTGAAAATTCCACAAGTTTACTGAGGAACCGTAAAAGAAAATATGAACAAAGACAGATCCATACCATATTTCTGGATGGGAAGACTCAGAGCTGTGTGCCTGTCAGTTCTCTCCATGTTAATATAAACATTTAACTCAAATAGCAACAGGATCTTTCAGGAACCTGCCAAATTACTGTGAGGCAACTAGGACTATTCTCAATCTGCAGGCAAGGAAACTAAGGCTTAGACAGGTTAAGAAAGCACAATCTGTCGTAAGGAAATTGATGTGGAGGCACAGTAGGGCACACCTCAGTAACAATTACAAAGATGTTGGATGCAGAGTTGTGTGTCTATGTGTGTGGGCCACAGATAAGCAGGAGAGTGGATTGCACAGGGCCCTAGGTGTGACAAGGAATCTGGGCAATAGAGAGGCTCTGAGAGGTTTCAGCGGGAAGAAGTAATGGTGGAGGGGGAGGGTTCACAGACGCAAATCTGCATTTTCCAAAGCTCCTCCTGACTTCAACGTGGAGAATGGACTAGAGGGGGCAGAACTGGAACAGGAAGGCGATGCAGGAAGTGACAGGAGTGATCCAGAAGATGACAGAGGCTGAAGTCAAGGTGAGGCTGTGGGAAGGAAAAGCAGTGTTGTGGATTTCATAGACACTCAGGAGGTGGAATTGGTGAAAACTGGCATCGGACGAGATGTAGGGGCTGAGCAGAAGCAGGGATGATTCCTGGGTATTTGGCCTGAGAAATGGAGTGGTTGGTGGTCTTGCTCATTGAGATAGAAAACAGAAGAAAAGCAGGGCTGGAGAAGATCGTGAGCCTAGTTCTAGAAATCTTGGAATTGCTGCGAGCAAGTTTTGACAGCACGATATTTGGTTTTCTTCCACTGGGATTACAGAGAACTTGTCTTTTGGGTAGTGAGCCACAGGGGAAATTTTCCTGTTTGGGTGGGGGGCTGGGTGCAGACCCACCTCTACTGTGAGTATCCTAACTGTGAAGCAGACACAGTCCCTTGGAGTGACTATAAAAATATTAAAAGGCTGGGCACAGTGGCTCACGCCTGTAATCCCAGCACTTTGGGAGGCCGAGGCAGGTGGATTACCTGAGGTTAGGAGTTTGAGACCAGCCTGGCCAACATGGTGAAACCCCATCTCTATTAAAAATACAAAAATCAGCCAGGTGTGGTGGCACACACCTGTAGTCCCAGCTACTCGGGAGGCTGAGGCAGGAGAATCGCTTGAACCTGGGAAGTGGAGGTTGCAGTGAGCTGAGATTGCACCACTGCACTCCAGCTTGAGCTACAGAGTGAGACTCCATCTAAGAGCTCAGGTATGGGTCTAGCATCGACAGCTGCTGGAGGCCTCTCCACCAGGGCCCTCCTGGGGCCTTCTCCCCACTCTCCTGTTGGAGGCCTCATCAGATGCCACTTCTCCATTTCCCCCCTCTATCTGAGATTTCCAGATGGACATTTTATGTTTTTGTACATTTGATAAATTTTTGTTTGGTACTGATGACATGTTTTGTTTTGTTTTGTTTTGAGATGGAGTCTGGCTCTGTCACCCAGGCTGGAGTGCAGTGGCGTGATCTTGGCTTACTGCAATTTTGGCTTCCCGGGTTCACGCCATTCTCCTGCCTCAGCCCCCCGAGGAGCTGGGACTACAGGCACCTGCCATCATGCCCAGCTAATTTTTTGTATTTTTAGTAGAGACAGGGTTTCACCGTGTTAGCCAGGCTGGTCTCAAACTCCTGACCTCAAGTGATTCACTCGCCTCAGCCTCCCAAAGTGCTGGGATTACAGGCGTGAGCCACTGCACCCGGCCTGATGACATTTTCTTACTATAATCCCTCCTCTTTGCCTTGGTAGAGTACATTTCTTCATTCATTATTCCTTCCAACATTACATTATTTGAAAGTATGGTAAGACAGGGTTCAACAGAAAGGCACGCAGTTGGTGCAACTGGAAGCTATCCTCTTTATGAATGAAACGTTAGTGTCTCCAGGTGTCCGTTTTCTTCGCTTAAAACTGCTGGCATCATCTTATAACTCAGACTTAGCTATTCATCACGGTGGAAAGAAAAAGTCAGCCAATGGAACATAAGCCTTCTTCCCTACGAGACACTCCTCTGGCCAACCTATATGGCCACAAAGGGCAGAATTGAGATTCTCCTGCTCACCTGGTGGCCGCATGCATAACCAGCCTAAAGAAAATTTCTGAGAGAAAATATCCAGGCAAGAGCTAACTTGCAAATCTGAATACTTGAAATGAGACAGTCACTTTATGGAGATGAATCTTTTTTTTTTTTCTTTCTTTACCAAAACTGAAGAACTGCACATGTATGTCCTCTAACAAGTAGACATCTAAAGACACCAGCATAGGTTGGGTAGAAAGTCAAGAAGCAAGAGAGTTTACGTATTTGCTGTAGAACCTAGATAGGGATTCCAGGGGACAAGAGAGCCCAGGACACCTGACAGGTATTCTTGATAGGAAAAACAGAGCACTCACAATTACAGATGTTGTGACCCTGGTCCAAATAATATCTTTACTCTGACAAAAAGCTGTGGACAATTAGAAATTACTTTTCTTAAACTAAAGGGTTTTTTCCTTTCTATAAATATTCAACCTTCTGTGTTTGAAATAGAATTCTCAGGCAAGGAGAGGTGGCTCGCACCTGTAATTCCAGCACTTTAGGAGGCTGAGGTGGGCGGATCACAAGGTTAGGAGTTCGAGACCAGCCTGGTCAACATGGTGAAACCCCGTCTCTACTAAAACTACAAAAATTAGCCGGGTGTGGTGGTGCGCGCCTGTAATCCCAGTTACTCAGGAGGCTGAGGCAGGAGAATCACTGAACCTGGGAGGCAGAGGTTGCAGTGAGCCAAGACCATGCCATTGCACTCCAGCCTGGGTGACAGAGCGAGACTCCATCTCAAACAAACAAACAAATAAAAGAAATAGAATTCTCAGTGTTTTCATGTCACTGGGGTTAAAGTATAAACTCAAGAAAAGTACCATGAGAACTTGGAATGTGGAGCTTTCGCAATGGATAGAACGACATTCTTTTCATTTAATAAGGTTGAACTGTATGCATCTTTCAAAATTAAAAGCAATGTTTTCAATAACTGCATGTTTCCAACAACCTTGGTCTCTATGGATTAAATTCTATTTCTTTTCATTTCTGGAATTATTTTATTAATCAAACACAAAATTATTATAGTCTACTCAGAAAAGTCTGATGGAAATTGTAACCTGAATCATATTCGAGGATTTTCTTTTGAAGCAGAAAGCCAGCAATTACAGTACTGGAAAAGGCTGTTTTACTGTGGTGTATTTCCTCGGGAGAGGAAATGATTTTTGAGAATACTGAAGCCTTTTTTATTCTAAAGTAGGCTAGCAACACCTGTACACAATCTTTCTAGACAACAATAAGACTTTTCTGAGGTTTCATGTCATGATCGTTTAATTTAATAGCTCTGAGAGTTTAAACAGGACACTCATACCTCAGTTAACTGGCATGGTCAGTGAACTGGGGATTCCAGTTAACTTAATTTTTCCATCAACTAATAGTAACCCATTTATGCAATGAAATTTCCTCAGCAGGATACAGGGGATCTGCACAGCTCTTTTCAGATATGTACAATTGTATGGTTTGTCTCTAAGTTTTCCTTTTTTAAAAAATCAGCATCTTGCCTTGTGTAAATCTTCAAATTAATAAACCAATGATCAACTACAAGACGGCTCACCAAAACAAATAAGCAAAAAAGGTTAGGTTTAACTCTGATCGTCTTAGCTAAAGAAAATAAACTACGGAGAAAATAAAATATTTTCTTCTCAATTCATACAGCATTCACTTAAGGCAATGGTCTGCACCCTGGAGATACGGAGATAAACAATACATGTTTTTTTGGACCTCAGAAGCTCACAGTTTACATATGGATAAAGTAGGAAAGTTCAGAAGATATGAGCAATGACAGTTGTTTAAAAAATTTTTTTTCTTTAAAAGTGTATAAAGCTACTCTTGTTTTTGAAAAGTCAAGGCAAATGAAACATACTTTTTGAAATAATCAGGGAAAAAAATAAGTTTAAAGTTTCCTCTAGATCTTTTAATCAGCAGAATAATAAGGACTGACTTTATATCTAGACTTCGACTTAGCAGAATTAGAAAACTTCAAAAGTCCTAGAAATATCACAGGTAAATGGGTAAAATTAACCTCAAAAAGTTTCTGACTTGACTTTCTAGGGGCCGAAACACGCAAGATCCTTCTCAGTTCTCTCCCTTAGTCTTATGTTTTAATTAACAGAGGCAAAGTTTTTCAAAGTCATGGGTGGGGCTTGCTTTATTTCCTCTGATGGTTTCCAGCAGGGAACCTTGGCCTTAGGATCTTAAGTTTTCTGGAATACTAGGTTCCATTCTCCCAGCTTCCCAGGCCCCACCCCCCTGGAGATTCTGATTCAGCGGTTCCGGGAGAGGGCCCAGGAATTTGTATTTTTAGTAAGAGCATCGTGTGATTCTTATCATCAGGGAAATCTGGACACTATGGATAATAACAATTTGCCCACGAATCACAGGTTGTGGGTAGGGCTTAGAGAGAAAAACAGATTCCCAGGCCCCAAGGCTCAGGGAATCAGCTTCAGGAAGCCTGGGCTCAGACTCAGGAATCTGCATTTCTAACAAACACCTCAGGCAACATCTGGTGGACGGAAACACTGTCTTTGGTGCTGAGCCACCAAACTCTATTCTGCAGGTGTTGGATATAAAACAACCAGAATCAGCAGAAACCAGTGTAGAGGTCCAAAGTAGTGATAAAAAAAAAAAAAAAAAAGGAGAAACATCTGGGACATCTCCGTCTACCTGAGGCCCTGGACTGCTGGGTGTCTTCAATACCACATTTCCTGGTCTGACCTAGATGGGCCTTTTCTCTAAGGCCGGCCTCCAGAAGCCAGGGTGAAGCCCAGAACATTACACACAATGAGATGCCCATCTGTTCCTGCATGGGGCAGATCGAGGGTGCCTATTTATCCAAGCCTGGTAGTCCCAAACAGTGATCACCCTGGTTAAATAAATACAAAAAGGCAAAACATCTTTTGGAATTGTTACATGCTGGTTATATCATGCCTGAAAATTGCAAATGAAACTAGTACATGTACCAATGCCTGGTCATAAATGAACACATTGTTTACTACAAATTCTGCTGAAATAAACCTGTCTTCACATACAGTTGCTAAGGCACTTGTGCTTAGAAAAACAAATACTTTAAAGACAAACAATACCTTCACATTTTCCCTTCAAAAGTGACTAATTTACTCAATACTTCTGAAAAATTGTAACGAACTTCTTCTGGAATCCCCATATTACCGCATCCCACACTTGCCAATAACTATATGGAGCGCTTTGGAAACGCCGAGGGAAATAGCAGACTTGGTAAGGCTTAAAAAAAAAAATAAGGCAAGATCATAGATGGGATGAAAAACTCAACTTGAATGCTTCCCCGTGAAGTCAGTCTACGTTTGATCCAAATGGTTGAACTCCAAAAGCACCTCAGCAGTTCAGCTCTCTTGATTTCAAACCCCTGCCCACATGGCTCAAATTTGCAACTTAAATATTCGGTATGAAAACGAAAGTTATTTAACTGTTAGCACAGGCTCTCTTCTCCAAAAGAGAGTAGGAAGGGCATACGTTTCGGCCCACACACATACGCCGATCTTTGACTTCTAAATATCAGGGCACAACACACACAATTATTTTGGCTTTGGGAGACAACACTGTCTGTTATGTTGGGGTGGGTAGTTACAAAAAAATATTGTCTTGAACACTGCCAGAGCTGACGATTTTATGCATGTGTAGTACAAACGGTTCTTTTTCATTTTGGAAAGAAAAAGCACTTAAAAAAGGTTTGGTAGGGAGGCTCTGCAGCGATATTTCACCTCAATACATCTTTCAAGTTTGATAGCTTGTAAGCTCACGGCTTTGGTTCTTGTCTTCAACCTTCAGACAACTCTAAGCTGGCTACAGCAGCTGCAGAGGCTGAGTCTTTAAATGAAATAAAGAAATAATTGCTTCAGGGAACAAAGGGAAGCAAAAAAAAAAAAAAAAAAGTCCTGTTAGCTGAACTATGTGGCCCCTTGGGACGGTGTGTGGTGTGTATTCCTGATGAATATTGTTCGGTGTGGTAAAGGAATCCCTGCAAAACCCCAGAGACTCAGAAAAAGGGTGGCGTGGTAGTAGAAACAGTGGGCTTCAGAGGTGTACCTGGGTTCGAGCTGAGGCTATGCCACTGACCAGCTACGTGACCTTGAGCACTGGCCCTCACCTCTCAGGGTCTTTGCCTCTTGTCTGTGATATGGGAATGACATTACCTGTCTCACGGGGCTGTAAATGAGGCCTGGAAGGATGATGTATGTCATGTGTTGATTTCACGTGGGCAAACTGAATGCCCTTGGTTATCTCTCCCCGCTCCCCAAACTCTACTAGTGGGGAATGGTATAAATATATAAACCAAAAGAACAGGAGAGAAAATGACATCCCATCAGATACAGCAACAAAATGTCAGGAGATGGAAAGCAGATGGATAAGTCATCAGTGTCTTACAGTAGATGACGATGAAACCTAAACAGCAGATTTGGGGTGGGGCAGGCTCCATCAGGTTCTCCTGCAGGTGAGGCTAAAAACAGGGGGACTAGTTAAAGACTATATGAGGGCCAGATGCACCCCAGGTCCCTGCCACCACCGCACACAATCAGGCAAACTACCTCTCCCCTATCTTCTCAGGAGAGATGTTCACAGGTGAAACTGGACTGGGGAGCTTGAAACATGGGGGCAACAGGCACAGAAGAAGAAAGGGATATGACGAGATGCTGGAAATAGGGAGATGAAATCCTGGTTTTCATAGGGCATGAGAAGCTGGCTGTCCCCTCTTCCTGTTTGGCTCCCAGACAATTAACAGCCAAGTTTCCACTCATTAGGGGGGACTACAGGGCTCCTCTCAGCAGTGATGGACTAAACAAAGACAAAAGAAATGCAGATAGTCCTGTTTGGGATCCCCAATCAATGACTAGGTCCTCCCCTGCCTGATAATGCTTCTGTGAAATCTGCAATTCAACAGATCCCACCCATGCCTATAGAACTTTCATATGTCTTTTTACATTCTTTTTTTTTTGTTTTGAGATGGAGGCTCACTCGGTCGCCAGACTGGAGTGAAGTGGCACATCTCGGCTCACTGCAACCTCTGCCTTCTGGGTTCAAGTGACTGTCCTGCCTCAGCCTCCCAAGTAGCTGGGATTACAGGTGAGCACCACCACGCCCAGCTAATTTGGTATTTTTGGTAGAGACAGGGTTTCACCATGTTGGCCAGGATGGTTTCAATCTCTTGACCTTGTGATCCACCCGCCTCGGCTTCCCAAAGTGCTGGGATTACAGGTGTGAGCCACCATGCCTGGCCTACATTCTTTAACATTAATGGGTAGCCAAGCATCACTAGACATTTGACAAGGGGGGGGGGGGGGAGAAAAGCAAAACAAACAAACAAACAAACAAAAAAAAAAAAAACCAAAAACAAAAAACCAACCTTCCCCCTGAAAAAAAAAAAAACAGAAAAAGGAATCCAATGACAAGATACAACGCAAAGAACAGAAGAAAATGTGAAAGAAACAATAATTACAATTATCATAGAGATAAAATATGTAATATCTATGAAATTAGAACAGAATAAATTAAAAAATCAGAAAGCCTTGGAGTGAAAAAGGAAGACAGCAGCTATAAAGAATTTCAATGGGCCGGGCGCGGTGGCTCACGCCTGTAATCCCAGCACTTTGGGAGGCCGAGACGGGTGGATCACGAGATCAAGAGATCGAGACCATCCTGGCTAACGCGGTGAAACCCCGTCTCTACTAAAATGACAAAAAAATTAGCCGGGCGTGGTGGCAGGCGCCTGTAGTCCCAGCTACTCGGGAGGCTGAGGCAGGAGAATGCCGTGAACCCGGGAGGTGGAGCTTGCAGTGAGCCGAGATCGCGCCACTGCACTCCAGCCTGGGTGACAGAGTGAGACTCCGTCTCGAAATAAATAAATAAAATAAATAAATAAATAAATAAATAAATAAAAGAATTTCAATGGAAGAATTTTAAGACTCACTTGAAGAAATGAACAAAACAACCAAAAAATGAAAGACAGAAGAGAAAATAAGGAAATTCAAGGATTAAACTATGAAACCCAATATCCAATTAAGGGGTGCAGCAGAAGGAAAGAAAAGAGAAAACACAGGAGGTAATCATGAAAGCTATAAGAAAATGTTTTGAGAACTGAAGGACATGAATTTTCAAACTGAAGCGTTCACAAAATACCCAACACAATAACGGGGGTAAGCGGGGAAGTTATGCTAAGGCCTTCTGTGTGAAATTTAGGATGCTGGGACTAAAGAGATGCTCCTAAGAGCAAAATAGGATGTACAACAAGGTTCTGGAATCAGACAGGCACTGGACTTCTCTATGGCAATACCGGAAGCTAGTAGTCAAGGCAAGATGCCTCCAAAATTTGGAGTGCAAATTGTTTCCGGCCTAAAATTTTATATGCAGTCAATCAATCAACAACAAGGGAGATAATAAAGATAGTTTTGGACAAGTACTATCTCAAGAAAATTTATTTCCCAAGTACTCTTTCTTAGAAAGCTAGGGGAGGCTTAAGGGGGTAAATCAAGCAAGAAAATGAGTTCCAGGAATGAAGGGCTCCAAAAGAAGAAAGAGTTGATGGAAAGTCTCAAGAAGATATTAAGAAGGCCTAGCAGAGGAGTGCTGTCCTAGACAGCTACCAGTTTGGACTGGTTTAGAAGGACGAGGACTCCAGGAGAGCTGACCCCAAGGAAAATATAAAAAAGACAGATTATTTGATGTGCATCTGACGATACCCACAAATTTTTTTTTTTTTTAGTTTGGTAGTAATTTAGGGCAAGAATTATAATAGACAAAGGGGAAAATCCATCCTGGCTAACATGGTGAAACCCCATCTCTACTAAAAAAAAAAACAAAAAATCAGCTGGGTGTGGTGGCGGGCGCCTGTAGTCCCAGCTACTCGGGAGGCTGAGGCAGGAGAATGGCATGAACCCGGGAGGTGGAGCTTGCAGTGAGTCGGGATCGCGCCACTGCAGTCCAGCCTGGGTGACAGAGCAAGACTCCGTCTCAAAAAAACAAAAACAAAACAAAACACACAAAGGGAAAAATGACAATAAGTTCCAAAAAAACACAAAATATTGCATGAGAAAGGAGATCTAATTACAATAAACTACGTAGCTCTGTTAATGATATTGATATGGTCAAAATGAAAACAATGAGTGATAACTAACAATTGTAGTTTAACTCTGTTGGTAGCACAGAGAAAGAAGTGTGAGTGCCTGAGCATGTGTGTGGGCGGACAATGAAAGAACTAATCATTTCCCACAGGAGGAAGTTAAGAGACAGCTTCTAGAATTGCAAGCAAATCGAGTCATGTCAGTACAAGTACATTATTTAGAAATAAGAAAGCAAAACCAAGAAGAGAGTGTGAAAGAGTTGAAAGTACCTTCCTTTGGAGAGTGGGGTGTAGGGGAAGGAAGGTGAAACAGGTGACTCTTGCTTTCTGTTTTCTCTTTTGAAATACACCCTGCACTATTTGTCTTTTTAAATTATGCCATTATTTTGACTCATCACCAGGTGAAAGTCTATGTCAAATGCATGCCACTGTGTGTGGATTGAGGGCAGGTGTAGGGCAGGATGGGGGTGAGTGCCACCTGCATCTGAACGCCATGGAACACGCAGGTATTGGGTGTTAGAGACAGAAGAGAACACACATTCATTACACTCTCCTCTTGGCTGCTCAGCAAGCACGTGTGCGCGTATACGCACAAACACACACACAGGTATATACAATTTCAAGCAAATTTGATACATTTATCAAAATATAATTATCCCAAGCACAACCAAAACTGCATTCACTTCCTTCCCAACGGGAGAAAAATCTCAAATCACATCTTGCTACAGTATAGCGAGGGAAGGAGGGGCCTCTGTGGTACAAGTCCCAGATCTCTGGTTAATGGTCATCTTCTCAACCCAGTTCATAAATAGTTCTCCATATTATGACCAAGTAATTTAGTTATTTCCAATATATCCGATATATACCTGTAGACAAATGCCCTGAGGATGCTACCAAAAGCTCCTGTTTGGAAAAGGGGAAAGGCACACATTGCCACCCAGTCCAGGACGTACATGCTTCTTATTAGGGTGCAGTAACCCTGTCCCCTGGGAGGCTCATTCTTGTCTAATGTCCTCTGCTGAAAAAGACAACCCTTTGGGGGTTTCCGCACTACCTAAGGTCAGCTTCAAAAAGGGAATGTTGCATAGCCATGGTGAACATGGAACAAGTTCTAGGAAGAAATGAGGATCCAGAAGTAGAATCAACCCGAACAAATATTACTGTCAACCAAATAGAGTTTGTGTGTGTTGTATAAAATCACTGTAGAATTATATGCTTCAATTACTGAGATTAAATATTCAGTATCAGGAAAAAGCTTGCCTTTCTTAAAAAGTATGTTTTGGCTGGGCGCAGTGGCTCACACCTCCCAGCACTTTGGGAGGCCGAAGCCGAAAAGTCACCCGAGCCGAGGAGTTCACGACTAACCTGGGCAACATGGTGAAACCTCGTGTCCACTAAAAACACAAAACATTAGCTGGGTGTGGTGGTGGGTACCTGTAGTCCCAGCTACTCAGGAGGGAGGGAGGATCACCTAAGCCTGGGAATTTGAAGCTGCAGTGAGCCATGATCACGCCACTGCACTCCAGCATGGGCGATGGGAGTGAGACTCGGTCTCAAAAAAAAAAAAAAAAAAAGTATGTTTCTTTCCTTTCCTATTAAATACTTCCATTGTGGTACACATCATATTTCCCTTTCTGTGTTGGTTTTCCAAGATTCTATCCTCAGTGCTAAATTTAATGCTCAAATATGGTATTAGTTTAGGAATTGGACATATTTTATTTACGTTCTCTTCTACATGTAAACATTTTCTATTCTTTAACAGCTTTGAGATTTTATATATACATACATCTTTTATTGTAAACTACCCATGTCCTCTTTGGAATACATAGGTCACAAATTATAAATAAAATCTATCTTGGGATAGGATTTGAGCTATCTTTGCTAAACTGCCCTACAAGATTCCTAGAGATTGAGGTTGGGGAAGAAACTGGGCTTTGAACAGTCCAAAGGCTCCGCTAGCCAGTCTTTATTGCTTGCTGTTTTATCTTAAGTCTGGTTCTGCAGGCTAAACTCTGTGAACGTATTCATTTATTTATGCTTTTGTGTATATTTTGGTGTTGTTTCCAAGGAAAAGTTCTCTTTCAAATCCTCCCGCCTTGCCTTAGTTGAACTAAGGAGAAGTGGGATTTTCTCCTGTGTTGATGTGTTCCTGAGTGTTGGATGGGGTGCTGCCAGCTAACCAGACCAGGACTAGAGCTAAGGAAGAAGCTGCTGGAGCTGGGGCAGAGGCACTGGGAATCCAGGAGGTACAGGACTGGCCCAGAGGTGGATGGACGGAGTCCCTGCCCACAGGGCAATTCCTTTACACAAAGAAGAACCTCAGACAAATAAATGGGTACTAAACATATGAACGATATAAGGGTAGAGCAAAGGCATCCTGGAAGTCAGTGTCACGGTCTCCACCGTGGGGCCTGTCCGTGGGGCTTCAGCATTCACTGGCGTGGGAGACCTGCAGCTTAGGTGTGTCACCACCGTGTGGTGGAAGGGAGAGTGACAGGCATACAGAGCCCAGTGGGTTCCCAGTTCAGAGATTTATGGTGCTTTTCTAAGCCACAGCTTGAACAAAAATAGAATCTGTTTATTAAACTTGTCTCTTTCATAACACAACACAGACTTCAGAAAGATAACTTTACAGCAGACAAAATAAAGAGGAGGCACTCATATTTCTCCAGCTACCTGCTAATGGCTAATCTCGAGCATGCTTTATTCTGAGGCCTACAGGAAGGAGTTTCCTCCTCTCACCTCCAACTAAAAAGAATCCCCTTTCTTTACTTTGGCATTGAACCCCTTCAGCAGCACAGCTCACAGTCCTGGCCCTGGCTTACTAGGGCTTGCAGAATCATCTTGCTTCACCAAGCTGGTTTGGAAGCAGCAGAATTTCCTCTTGAGCCAACAAGTCTTCCCCTCGCTGAATGCTCTCTGGCTGTTTCTAAGAATGTGCTCTGCAGTTCCCATGCCCCAAGTCCTCAGATGCCACTAGCTATTCAGCTCTCATGCCCCCCATCTTCTCTCCAAACACAAGGCCTTACACCCAACCAGCAAGCAACTCTAGGAAGATTATTTTCAAGACAGATTAAAGTAACCTGACAGAAAATAGAACAAAACATGAATATCCGGTATCATCATGGATACTGGTTGGTTAAGCAAATTTAAATTCATTTCACCAATATTATTGAATTGGGTACAATCACTAAATAACCACTGGGACACAGCAGCCAGGGACCTCCATGTCTCCTAGGTAGATAAAGAAAAATAATAATGAATAGTGAGAGCATTTACAAAGTGCCAAGCATTGTTCTGAAGAATACACATGCTATAATTCATTTCACCCTCACAAATCTCCCAATGTTGGGTAGATCCCATGAATACTTCTAGTTTCTAGGCAGTATTCTAGGAGTATCTAAGGGATGCTCGAGGTCTCACAGCTGGTAACCAATGGAGCTGGATTCCAATCCAGAAAGTCAGATTGTAGACCCCTCAAAACAGTGTCTGCAGCCACTGCCTTACACGGCTTCCTGGGGAAGTCATCCCCTACCTGTAATCAGCTTATGAGGACCTCACAGAAGATGTGGAATTTTAGAGACTTTTTTTTTTTTTAATGAGAACATTATAACTTGGGCATGAGGTAGCTATGAAGAATTCTCAAAGACCTGATTAAGGTCCTTGGATAAGTGATGACAGTGAGATAGGAGGTGTAAGAAGGTCCGGCGGTCTACCCAGAAAATGTTACCATAAAAATAGAATACTGTCATTAATTTTGAAGTGAATACGACACTTTGTACTTTGCAAAGAACCGTGACATATATGTTATCCATTTTAAGCTTTGCAGTAACCCCAGATGTCATGTTTAACTTTTTATGTGGTCACCATTTATAGTACTTTTTTTTTTTTTTGAGATGGAGTCTCTGTCTGTCGCCCAGGCTGGAGTGCAGCGGCACGATCTTGGCTCACTGCAAGCTCCGCCTCCCGGGTTCACGCCATTCTGCTGTCTCAGCCTCCCAAGTACCTGGGACTACAGGCACCCGCCACCACGCCTGGCTAATTTTTTTTTTGTATTTTTAGTAGAGACGGGGTTTCACCGTGTTAGCCAGGATGGTCTCGATTTCCTGACCTAGTGATCTGCCCGTCTCGGCCTCCCAAAGTGCTGGGATTACAGGCGTGAGCCACTGCCCCTGGCCCAAGTCTTATTTTCTCCATCTTATAGATGAAGCAAATGATGAAGATTCCACGGCTAGCCTAGAGGTGGCCTAGGGTTTGGGTCTTCTGATGTCTATTGCAGTGCTGTTGGTCACATCTTGCTAATTTGGCCCCAGGGTCAGCAAAGAACTCTTAGTGAGAGAGATGGCGTAACACAAGATAGGAAGGAAAGGAAAGATATGAAGTCTGGCTGGAAGGCCTAATGGTGATAAAGTGAAAGAGGAAGAGAACTCGTATTTTCTGAGCCCTTACTATGTGCAAAACCCTATGGTGGGCCTCAATGGCTCAGGAAAGCTGGAAATACAACAGAATCACTGAAAGAGAAGATTCCTGCATGGAAGGCAACTGTTGCTTCTCCATCAGGATCAGCTCTGAGTGAGGGTGGAACATCTGAAGCCAGGCGTTTCATAAACAGGAGCTTTGGCAGTCTTACACTCTTTAGAGCAGACAACAAGGAGCAGACAGGAATCAGGAATCGCTCCTTAGAGACTTCCAGGGATGGGAAGAATGCATGGGAAAGGATTCTTAAGAAGGTGTGTGCAGAGGAGGGTACTTCATTGATGAAACATAAGGAAGAACTAGGGGCCAGGGAAACTCTAGTGTTGGTAAGCATTATGGACTGAATCGTATCACCCCAACATTCATATGTTGAAGCCCAAATCCTCAATGTAACTGTATTTGGAGACAGGAACTTTGAAAATGTAATGAAAATGAAAATGAGGTCATAAGAGTGGGGTACTAGTCCAATAGGACTGATGTCATTATAAGAAGAGGAAGAGACACCAGAGGGCTCTTTCCTTCTCTGAACTTGCATACTCTGAGCATGCACAGAGGAAAGGCCACGTGAGCACAGAGCAAGAAGGCAGCCATCTGCAACCCAAGGACAGAAGCCTCAGCAGAAACCGACCCTGCTGGCACCCTGATCTTGGATTTCTAATCTCCAGAATTCTGAGAGAATAAACTTCTGTTGGCTAAGCAACCCCGCCTGGTATTTTGTTATGGCAGCTTGAGCAGACTAATGGAGTGAGCCTTGTTGGCCCTGCCACCTCCCTGGCTCTTGGCCAACACTAATTTATATTTGAAAACTCAGAGTCACCTCTTCTATGAGGTCTTTCTCATTCATCCTAGCCATTTCTTCCTTGATGCCTCCTCTCTATGTGAAGGGATCTTATCTTAGAACCCATAACACTTTATTGACTTAGTCTTTTTTAAAACAAGCCTAACTGTTCCTATTAGACTCCGAGCCCCTTGAAAGAAGAGACCACCTTAGTCAACTTTATAGTCCTGGTCCCTAGCATGTAGCAGACATTCAATAATTGTTTATAGACAAATTAAAGAAATGAACAAATCTAGGATATTATCTTGAAAATGTAGGCTGGGACCAGGCACGGTGGCTCACACCAGTAATCCCAGCACTTTCGGGAGCTGAGGCGGGCAAATCACGAGGTCAGGAGTTCGAGACCAGCCTGGCCAACAGGTGAAATCCCGTCTCTACTAAAAATACAAAAAATTAGCTGGGCGTGGTGGCAGGTGCCTGTAATTCCAGTTACTCGGGAGGCTGAGGCAGGAGAATCACTTGAAACCAGGAGGCAGAGGTTGCAGTGAGCCAAGATCGCGCCACCGCACTCCAGCGTGACGACAGAATGAGATTCCGTCCCCCCTCCCCCCCAAAAAAAGGAGGCTGGGTGCAGTGGCTCATGCCTGTAATCCCAGCACTTTGGGAGGCCAAGACAGGTGGATCACCTGAGGTCAGGAGTTCGAGACCAGCCTGGCCAACATGGTGAAACCCCATCTCTACCAAAAATACAAAAAATTAGCCAGGTGTGGCCAGGCGCAGTGGCTCATGCCTGTAATCCCAGCACTTTGGGAGGCCAAGGCGGGCGGATCACGAGGTCAGGAGATTGAGACCATCCTGGCTAACACGGTGAAACCCTGCCTCTGCTAAAAATACAAAAAATTAGCCGGGGGCGGTGGCGGGTGCCTGTAGTCCCAGCTACTCAGGAGGCTGAGGCAGGAGAATGGCGCGAACCCGGGAGGCGGAGATTGCAGTGAGCCGAGATCGTGCTACTGTACTCCAGCCTGGGAGACAGAGTGAGACTCCGTCTCAAAAAAATTAGCCAGGCATGGTGGTGCATGCCTGTAATCCCAGCTACTCGGGAGGCTGAGGCAGGAGAATGGCGCGAACCTGGGAGGCAGAGCTTGCAGTGAGCTGAGATCGCACCACTGCACTCCAGCCTGGGCGACAGAGACTCTGTCTCAAAAAAATTAGCCAGGCGTGGTGGTGCGTGCCTGTAATCCCAGCTACTTGGGAGGCTGTGGCAGGAGAATAGCTTGAACCTGGGAGGTGGAGGTTGCAGTGAACCAAGATCACACCACTGCATTCCAGCCTAGGCAACGAGAGTGAAACTCCATCTCTCAAAAAAAAAAAAAAATGTATATTAGTGTAAATGTAAATGTTATGACATGATTAATTAATGAATTCATTCATTCAACAATAAACTTGTAAATGGCTGGAAGGAAAAAAAGAAGTAAATTGTTGAAAGACTAAAAAAAAAAAAAAACAAACCAAGGGCATTTCTAGATAGCGAAGACATGACAAAATGAAGGATTAGCTGGATTAGCTGTGTAAGTGAATATAAAGCAGTTATTTGTAGTAACCGCTTGCCATGCAGTATGATTTTAATTATACTTAAATGTAAAGGATAGCTGTACAGAGTAGGGGCTGTGTGAGCTCCAAGGTGAGACAAAGGTGGTGGCTGAATCCTGCCTCTGCTAATACTAGTTGGGTGATTTTAGACAAGTTACTAAACTTCTCTGGGCCTCATCTCATTATTTTTTTCAACATAAATCTTACTCAAGTATAATACATATACAGAAAATTACATAAGCTGTCAAGAGACAAGCTCAATGAATTTACTAGTTGCCTTATCTTGTAAATGGGAAGAATAACAGCATCTGTTCATACAGGACAGGTATGAGGACTTCATGACATGATGCTTTGGAAGCATTTGGCATGGTGTCCAATGCACAGTGAACCTCCAAAAACGTCAGCTCTCATTTATGTTTACCTCATTAAACTGCAATCTTAACTTGATGTAGAGATGTTCAAACCTTGTATCATTTTGCATACAGTCTGATAGCATATGCCCAGAGTTTGCAAAAAAAAAAAAAAAAGAAAAAAAAAGAAAAAGTGAATCCTGCTCCTAATGTGGTTTAGTGAGTATAGAAACTCATCTTTAGAACTGAGTATGAGAATCTCATCACTGTCACCCTTCCTGCCACTCCCACTTAATGGAATGATTCTTCATCTACTTAAAATGCCAAGGAAGCTTAGAGTCAGGGCCAGAGGTGGCAACAAAATGGATGTGGAGATGCTTCCTTGGTTGGTACATGAAAGAGAGAAAGACATCTTTTATTTCAGCATTCGTGACTTCTCATACAAGCTGAATAGAGGTCATCATTCCAGGGCTAGGCAACAGCAAGTACTCAATAAATGTTTGTTAGCCGGATGCAGTAGCTCACGCCTATGGTTCCCATTACCTGGGAGGCTGAAGCAGGAGGACTGCTTGAGCCCAAGAGTTCAAAACCACCCTGGGCAACACGGCAAGACCCTATCTCTAAAGAAATAAAAATAACAGTAAAATTAGCCAGGCATGGTGGCACACACCTGTAGTCCCAGCTGCCTGGGAGGTTGAGGCAGGAGAATCACTTGAGCCCAGGAGGTCAAGACTAGCCTAGGTGATATAGTGAGTGTCTGTCTCTCAATAAATGAATGTTTGTTAGCTGGGGATGCAGCAGGAGCATCTTCTGAAAGAAGGGCAAGTTGGGACCCCACTGTATCTTAAGCGGTGTTCCTATAAACAAAGTTATTCCATGTACCTAGCAAGGGTGGACCAAGTGGTTACCTAAATAGAGATGACCTGATGGGTAAAAAGAAGTCCTTTCTTTTCCCAAGTGTCTTCCCCAAACAGCTTCAGGATACCCAAAATTCCACTGCTGGTAGATTCCTGTTTGTCACAGTCAGCCTCCTCCTCCGTTCCCATTTAAAATGGAAATGTCACTGGCTGGGAAAGCACACTCTGTTTCTGACGTGGGAGCATGGATGAACTGATGGGAGTCCTTTCCTCTTGAGCAGAAGAAGATGGACAGTAAAAGTGTCAGTGACTGAAGGAAGCATGGATGTGAGCACATGTGGAGCGTGAGTTGGCGGAGGTGGAACTTTCTGACCTCTGTACTTTGGCCAGCCCAGCCCTGGCACCCACAGGCACAGGAGAGTTCCTGGCAATGGAAAGGCTGATGAGGAAATCAGCTCAGGTTTTCCTAAGTGCTCTTCCAACATCTTCCTTCCACTGCCACGTGCACTCCTGCTTTGTCTTTCCCTCTTCCAAGTAACTCTCTGTGAGCAAATGTACTTCTGTTATTCCACTTTAAAAACCAAAAAAACCGGGCCAGCCATGGTGGCTCACGCCTGTAATCCCAGTACTTTGGGAGGCCAAGGTGGGTAGATCACCTGAGGTCAGGAGACTGAGACCATCCTGGCCAACATGGTGAAACCCCGTCTCTACTAAAAATACAAAAATTAGCCGGGTGTGGTGGCGGACATCTGTAATCCCAGCTACTCAGGAGACTGAGGCAGAAGAATTGCTTGAAACCAGAAGGCGGAGGTTGCAGTGAGCCGAGATCACGCCACTGCACTCCAGTCTAGGCAACAAGAGCGAAACTCTGTCTCAAAAACAAACAAAACAAAACAAAACAAAACCAAACCAAACCTGAGTAGCATCTGTCCTTGCAAGCATTCCTTTGCAACTCCTCAGAAGATCCAGGCTCTTCTAAGTAGCAGCAGCAGATGTGGCTTAAAACAAGATGCTTGAGGGGAATTTACAGTCTGTGACCAATTAGCCAGATGCACTCACCTTCCCACCTGGTTTTTCTCTTGTCGGTGTTTTGCGAGCCCTCTCTCACTTTCCTTGATTCTCTGTTGGTAGAAGGTCATTTCCCTTTGGCCTAGGAGTTTGCAGTCTGAGGCCATCTTGGGTTCACATCTGCTTCTGGACTTCAGATGGCACTGGTGACCAACACAAGCCTTCTCCAACACACACTCACGCAGGCACAGTGACCTTTTCTCCCGGATGCATAGCTCATCATAGTTTTCCACATTTTTTTTGTGAATTCCAACTTCAGATGGTGCAAATGTGGTCACATGGTTAATTCCCAATCTATGCTATACAGAATGCTGAGCCTTACTGTGTCTGCATGTCATTTCCCAAGCAAACCGAGGAACTGTATTTCAGCCACAAAACCTCGATGATTTGGAAGGAAAAGAGGGGATTGCCTGCGTCCGTCTTCATTCTTACGCTTTTTTTTTTTTTTTTTTTTTGAGACAAGAGTCTCACTCTGTCGCCCAGGCTAGAGTGCAGTGGCGCGATCTGGGCTCACTGCAAGCTCTGCCTCCCAGGTTCACACCATTCTCCTGCCTCAGCCTCCTGAGTAGCTGGGACTACAGGCGCCCGCCACCACACCCGGCTAATTTTTTGTATTTTTAGTAGAGACAGGGTTTCACCGTGTTAGCCAGGATGGTCTCAATCTCCTGCCCTCGTGATCTACTGCCTCAGCCTCCCAAAGTGCAGGGATTACAGGTGTGAGCCACCGTGCTCGGGCCATTCTTACATTATTTAATACTGGTCATACCACTTCCTGCTTCCAGTCAGTGAAGTAGAGTTACCGCTGTGTCTAGAAGCTACCGCTTTAGGCTATTTGTTACTCTAAATGTAATGTAAACTCCTTTCCTTTCAGTTTGGGTTTGCCTCAATCAACTACGTTTGCCAACACTTGGAGATGTAGAGAGCTTTAAGTTGTTATCTCGTCAAGATCTTGGAACCTAGGCAGGGCATGAACATCAATCACCCAAGATAAACATTTGTTTCACCAGTGTTTATAAATTTCTGGGGTTGAAAATTCCCCAATTAGGCAGGGTGCGGTGGCTCATGCCTATAATCCCAGCACTTTGGGAGACCGAGGCGGGCGGATCACCTGAGGTTGGGGGTTCGAGACCAGCCTGACCAACATGGTGAAACCTCGTCTCTACTGAAAATACAAAATTAGCCGGGCATGGTGGCGCATGCCTGTAATCCCAGCTACTTGGGAGGCTGAGGCAGGAGAATCACTTGAACCTGGGAGGAGGAGGTTGCGGTGAGCCACGGTGGTGCCATTGCACTCCAGCCTGGGCAACAAGAGCGAAACTCCATCTCAAAAAAAAAAAAAAAAAGAAAGAAAGAAAGAAAAAGAAAAAGAAAATTCCCCAATTATTTAAAAAACCTGTGAGTCATGACCTCCCCAAATCACAATTATGGTAAACTCCCCTCCCCCTTTTATTTTGCTTCAGCTAGTTTGAGTTGGGTTTTGAACCTTAGAAATGTTTTGTAGTTTTCTTCGTAGATCTACTTCTTGTTGAGCTTTTATAGCTATCGTGAATGCAATCTGTTCTCCATCTGTGATGTTTTCTACCTGGTTATGAGTGTTATATGAGAATACAATTTTTGTATATTTATTTTATATCTGGCAAAGGACTTGGCGTTCTTAGTTTTTCAGTTGATTCTCTTGAAATTTCCAAGTAGACAACTGGAAATATTTGCAAGTAAGATGTTAATTTTGGCTTTTCCTCTTTATTTATTTTGCATATTGCAGAGGTTGTGCCTTCCAAATTAATGATATGTATTAGTTATGAGATGGGACATTCTTATTTTGTTCTTTTTTTTTTTTTTTTTTTTTTGAGACGGAGTCTCACTGTCACCCAGGCTGGAGTGCAGTGATGCAATCTCGGCTCACTGCAAACTCCACCTCCCGGGTTCACACCATTCTCCTGCCTCAGCCTCCTGAGTAGCTGGGACTACAGGAGCCTGCCACCACGCCCGGCTAATTTTTTGTATTTTTAGTACAGACTCGGTTTCACTGTGTTAGCCACAATGGTCTTGATCTCCTGACCTCGTGATCCACCCGCCTCGGCCTCCCAAAGTGCTAGGATTACAGACGTGAGCCACCACTCCTGGCCCCTTATTTTGTTCTTGATCTGATCCTCTAGTTTTTCACCATTAGGCAAAATGATTAGTAATGTTTAGTTTGTGATAGTTATTATTTAGCATGATAATACAGTGTGTGTCCTTTAATTCCTAGTTTCTGAAGAGTAATTTTTAAAAAACAACAACAACTAAGAACAGATACTGAGCTCTATTAAATGCCTTTTTAGTATCTACTAAGGTGATTACAAGGCTTTACTCCATTTATTAATGAGATGAATCATGTTAATATGTTTCCTAATATTAACCTCTCTTTGTACACTTGAGATTAATTTGGCTTGGGCACAGTGCTTTACTTTTTTTTAATTTTTATTTTATTTATTTATTTATTTATATTTATTTTTGAGATGGAGTCTCACTCTGTCGCCCAGGCTGGAGTGCAGTGGCGCGATCTCGGCTCACTGCAAGCTCCACCTCCCGCGTTCACGCCATTCTCCTGCTTCAGCCTCCCGAGTAGCTGGGACTACAGGCGCCTGCCACTATGTCCGGCCATTTTTGTTTTTTTTTTTGTATTTTTAGTAGAGACGGGGTTTCACCGTGGTAGCCAGGATGGTCTTGATCTGACCTCGTGATCCGTCCGTCTCGGCCTCCCAAAGTGTTGGGATTACAGGCATGAGCCACGGCGCCCGGCCAGTGCTTTACTTTTTAAATAGAAAACTAGATTTATTTTGCTATTGTTTTAGGTAGGGCATTTTAGGGTAACTATATTCATAAGTGAGACTGGCATCCAGATTTGTAAGTAAATGTTATCTTTGTTGGGTATGGTTATTAGAGTTATTCTAAATTCATATAGTGAAATAGGATGCCTTCCTTCTTTTCTGTATTCTGAAATAGTTTATATAACATAGAAATTATTTTTCCTGGAAAGTTTGAAATAGTTTGCCCATAAAACTGCCTAGTACCAGAGTATTTTGGGGAGGATAATTCTTTGTACACTCCTCCTGTTTCTTTCTCAGTTACTGTTCCATTTATGTTCTCTAATTACTCTTTAAACTATTTTGGGAACTTGAAGTTTTCTAGAAGATCATTGAACCGTTAATTAGTATAAATTTATAAATAGTATTCTCTAATTTTTAACTCAGCATCTGTGTTTATATACCCCTTCTCATCCTTAATATGGTGGTTTTGTTTTTTTTCTTTTTTGCCAAAATACTTGGCAGACATTTGCCTATTTAATCTGCCTTTTCAAATAGATAGTTTTTATATTTATTAATAAACCTACTGTTTATATGCTTTCAAATGCACTGACCTCTTAGTTTGTCCTGCATTCCTTAAGTTGGCTTAATCTAAAGTCCTAAATGGTATCCTTAAGTTACCTATTCTTATTTTTTTCTATTTGTATATTCCCTGGATGCTTTGAATTCATAACTGTGCTTAAATAGCCACCCTGCTCTAAAAGCTCTAAGAGTGAGCAGAAGCGGTGTGGCCCACTTCCAGGCATGGACACATAAGCAGCACACACTTCATGCTCTTTTCCGCTTCTGAAGTGTAGCCATAAGGTGCCCATGACCTGGCTTTGACCAAGGAGATGAGGATCCACAGAGCACTGGTGGAGACAAGACAGAGAGAAAGTGGGCTGAGAATGACTCCATGAAAAGGCAAAACCACAGGAATAGAAGTCAGATCAGTTGTTTCCAGGGTCTGGGGGTTCAGGGGATGAGGAGAAGGCACTGGCCACAAAGGAGCACAAGGGAACTCATATTCGGGGTGGTGGAAAGATTCAGTATTTTTATTGTAGTAGTGGTTGTAGAACTATTTATGTTTCTCAGAACTCACAGAATTGGTCACCGAAAAATGGTGAATTTTATATGTGAATTAGATCTAATATAGATTAAAAAAAAAAAAAAAAAGGAAGAGACAGGCACAGTGGGTCACACCTGTAATCCCAGCACTTTGGGAGGCCGAGGTGGGTGGATCACAAGGTCAAGAGATCGAGACCATCCTGGCCAACATGGTGAACCCCGTCTCTACTAAAAATACAAAAATTAGCTGGGCGTGGTGGCGCATTCCTGTAGTCCCAGCTACTCAGGAGGCTGAGGCAGGAGAATCGCTTGAACCCAGGAGGCGGAGGTTGCAGTGAGCTGAGATCGTGCCACTGCACTCCGGCCTGGCGACAGAGCGAGACTCTGTCTCAAATAAATAAATAAATAACCCTAGGAAGAAGAGACTTCTCCCTCCAACCTAGACTGCTCACTCCAGAGCTGTTCCATGAAACACAAATACAGTTCTACATTCTATAAGCCACAATACTGTTATAATATGGTTGCATCTCTCTGTTGTAGTACCTTTACCCTAGTGTGTGTGTGTGTATGTGTATGTGTTACACAAAAGTATTAACACTGATAAATAGTAGAATTGGAGTTAGTTCATTTTCTAAGTTTTGTTCATCTATATTTTCTTCAGTAAATGTGATTTCGCCACACATAAAAGAAAATATAAGAAATGTTGCATATTTTAGATCTATATCCAGCCAAAAAGTTAAATTACTAGGGCTTAAAATTAATCTCTAAAATTAGTACATGATTAAGGCGGCTTTCAAAATCAGTAGAAATAGGGATGAACTTTTAAAATAAATGCTAATGGAACAACTGAGTAGCCATCTGTAAAAACATACACTTCACACCAGGATAAACTCCAAATGGATCAAAAACTTAAATGCAGCAAACAAAACCATTAAAGGTCTAGAAAAAAAATCCATGAAATAATTCCTTTATGTTATGTGGAGATAACCTTTCTCACCGTGACTTAAAATCTGGACGTCATAAAAGAACAGGTTGATAATTACGACTACCTAAAAATTAGAAACTTTTCATGACAAAAAAAAAATCATCATAAGCAATGTCAAAGGCCAAATAATTAGGAAAAAAATATTTGAAATTCATTATCACACAGGATCCATCTCCCAAATTTATAAAAAGTCTCTCAACTTGGTAAGAAAAAGATCAGCAATCCAGAGAAAATCAGCACTAAGAACATCAACAGACTGTTAAGAAAAAAAAAGGAAATACAAATGGTCATTAAAATATATCCAAAGGTATTCTATTTCACTCATAAGAAAAATACAAAAGAGTAGCCGGGTGCTGTGGCTCACGCCTGTAATCCCAGCACTTTGGGAGGCCAAGGTGGGCAGATCACCTGAGGTCAGGAGTTTGAGACCAGCCGGACCAACATGGAGAAACCTCGTCTCTACAAAAAAATGAAAATAAATTAATACAAATAATTAGTCTGGCGTGGTGGCGCATGCCTGTAATCCCAGCTACTCGGGAGGCTGAGGCAGAAGAATCTCTTGTTGCAGCGAACCAAGATCGTGCCATTGCACTCCAGCCTGGGCAACAAGAGCGAAACTGTCTCAAAAAAAAAAAAAAAAAAAAAAGAAAAAAGAAAGAAAAAAGAAAACGAAAAATACAAAATAAAGCTCTTAGGTTTAATCATATGAATTACCAATGTTCTACGATTTCTGACCTACACAAATGGTAATTTCATGTGGTTCAACTTAATACAATGAAATAATATTTTTTCCTCTATCAGACTGGCAAAATCCCACAAGCTGAGTGCCATAATCTTTCCACGAGACTGTGAGGCGATAGTCTTATACAATGCTTTTGGGAGTATAAAACCACTTTGGAGGGCAATCTGGTAAAATTGATCAAAATTTCCACTCTGGGAACCATCCTTTAGCTATACCTCTACACATATAAAAGAATGTATGTGCTAGGTACAGATGAGTGTTCACAATATGCTACCTTTCATATATGGGCGAAAAAAAAAATATGTATATATATATATATATACAGTCCCTGACTTATGATGGTTTGGCTTAACGACTTTTTCACTTTAGTATGGTGATTTCAGCTGTATACAGTGAGGACTCACAGAACCATCCTGTTTTTCACTTTCGGTATAGTATTCAATAAATTACATGAGATATTAAATATTATTATTATTATTATTTTTTGAGATGGAGTCTCGCTCTGTTGCCAGGCTGGAGTGCAGTGGCGCGGTCTCGGCTCACTGCAACCTCCACCTCCTGGGTTCAAGCGATTCTCCTGCCTCAGCATCCCAAGTAGCTGGGATTACAGGCATGCTCCACCACGCCTGGCTAATTTTTGTATTTTTAGTAGAGATGGGGTTGCACCATGTTGGCCAGGCTGGTCTTGAACTCCTGACCTCGTGGTCCACCTGCCTCAGCCTCCCAAAGTGCTGGGATTACAGGTGTGAGCCACCGCTCCCAGCCAAATTACATGAGATATTAAATATTGTAAAAAAGACTTGTGCTTGATGATTTTGCCCAATTGTAGGCTAATGTCAGTGTCCTGAGTACATTTAAGGTAAGCTAGGCTAAACTATGATGTTGCGTAGGTTAAGTGTATTAAATGCATTCTCAATTAATGGTATTTTCAACCCACGATGGATTTATTGGGATGTAACTGCATTGTAAGTTGAGGAGCACCTCTATATGCACTTGATTTGCTTGTATGGTGATGTATGCGTAGTGATGCTGTGGTCAACAGTGGACAGCATATATCATGGTGGTCTCATAAGATTACAGGTGCCCTATACAGGTCCCCTATACAGGTGCATCTTTTTTTTTTTTTTTTTTTTTTTTGAGATGGAGTCTTGCTCTGTCACCCAAGCTGGAGTGCAGTGGCATGATTCTGGCTCACTGCAATCTCCGCCTCCCAGGTTCAAGCGATTCTCCTGCCGCAGCCTCCTGAGTAGCTGAGATTACAGATGCGCACCACCATTCCCGGCTAATTTTTGTATTTTTAGAAGAGACGGGGTTTCACCATGTTGGTCAGGCTGGTCTTGAACTCCTGACCTTGTGATCCTCCCACCTCAGCCTCCCAAAGTGCTGGGATGACAGCCATGAGCCACTGTGCCTGGCCACAGGTGCACCATTTTAAAATCCTTTATGTTGTACTTTTATTATACTATTTATACGTCTAGATACATAAATATTTATCATTGTGTTACAACTGTCTACAATATTCTGCATAGTAATACAGTGTTCAGGAGCCAAGGAGCAACAGGCCATACCATATAGCCAAAGTGTGTAGTAGGCTATGTCATCTAGGTTTGTGTCAGTACACTCTGTGATGCTCACACAACAAAATCACTTAATGACTCATTTCTCAGAACACACCCCTGTTGTTAAGCGAAACAGACCTGAAAACTTTCTCAAAGCAGTTACTCACTTAGGGAAGGAGAGGGAGTGGAGAAGACAGGGAGCGGGGAATCAAATTCCTCAGCGTAGATGTTGTTCATCGTATTGGTGATTGAAGTAAATACTCAAAATAAAAAACAAATTAAGGGCCAGGTACGGTATCTCACACCTGTAATCCCAGCACTTTGGGAGACTGAGGTGGGTGGATCAACTAAGGTCAGGAGTTCAAGACCAGCCTGGCCAACATGGTGAAAACCCGTCTCTACTAAAAATACAAAAAAAAAAAAAAAAAAAAATAGCCATGCGTGGTGGTGCATGCCTGTAATCCCAGCTACTTGGGAGGCTGAGGCGGGAGAATCACGTGAACCCAGAAGGCGGAGGTTGCAGTGAGCCCAGATAGCAGTACTACACTCACGCCTGGGCAACCAAGCGAGACTCTGTCTCAAACAAACAAACAAACAAAAACAAATAAGGAATTTAAGAAGTAAAACTGCAGGTTTTGACAATTAAAATGAATCATTTACGCCGGGCATGGTGGCTCACGTCTGTAATCCCAGCACTTTGGGAGGCTGAGGAGGGAGGATCATGAGGTCAGCAGTTTGAGACCAGCCTGGCCAACATGGTGAAACCCCATCTCTACTAAAAATACAAAAATTAGCTGGGCGTGGTGGTGCATGCCTGTAATCCCTGCTACTCGGGAGGCTGAGGTAGGAGAATACCTGGAACCTGGGAGGCAGAGGTTGCAGTGAGCTGAGATCCTGCCACTGCACTCCAGCCTGGGACAGAGCAAGACTCCGTCTCAAAAAATAAATAAATAAAGTAAGTAAATAAATAAATAAAATGACTCGTTTACCAAGGTCTTATAAATCATCAGTGCCACTGTGCTGCATCATTTATGTACTTACAACTATTTTTTGCCATCCCCCCCACCAAAACAAATAAAAAACCATAAATGTGAATTCCATCACTAGGCTGACGATCCTGACTGCCTCCCTGGCCAGTTTCTCCACCTTTTCTATGTCCTGCTTGGGGGAGGGCTGACCCCCACATGGGGCAACACCTGGGCTCTCCTGACTTCGGTCTTCCTCTCGGGTCAGCCAAAGGAGGCACTGGCTGGAGGTCAGAGGTCAAAAGGCTAAAGCTGGGGGATTGGAGTTGCTTCTCCTGTTCTCTTCTTGCATCAGCAGTGGTTCTGGCAATGGCTGCATCCCCTTTTAAGCAAATTTCCTGTCTGCTGTGATCTCCTACTGAGTTCTAGTAACACTATTTTCTCCCTCTTACTCCTTAGGGCCTGGAAGCGGGGTGGAATTAACAGTTTCCCACTATTGTTTATTCTTAGGTGCCCGTCAGGGATCAGAACGCGATACCCCAGAGTATGGCACTTTGGCATGCTGAGTACTTTGAACTGAGGGAGACTGGGAGGCATCAGAAAAGCAGGGCCTTTCTGACCTTCTCCCATCCTCCTGTTTCCTGCCCCTCTTTGTCCTCTGAGTCACAGAAGCCAGAATTCCTCTTCCCAGAGGCTGGTCTTAGAAGCTAGAACTCTTCTCCCCCAAAAGCAAGCTATAAAACCTAGAAAGGTCACTCTCTCCCTTCTCCCTTGAAGACCCTCATTCCAAAGGGTTTCTGCCCCATACCTGGGAGAAAGGAAAGCTACACAGAGAGGCCAAGAAGACGGAGGTTAGCGATAGAAAAGCACAACAGATTTATTTAATCAAAGTTGTATATGACGTGGGGGCCTTCAGCAATGAAGACCCAAAGACCCAAGGGGAAAATGTCCATTTTTATGCTTAGATTCAATGAAGAGTGGACAGCCATGTAGAAATGTGATCAAACAAAGACGGTGTGATCTAATAGTAATAGACTGAGTGGGGAAACCCCGCAGGACCTGTCTGCTCAGATTCCTCTTGGTCTGTCTGTGTGACATTCCTTCCTCCCGGGGATAGGGCAGGACCCCTTTGGAATGAAGGTCTTATGATCTACTTTCAGACAAGGTAGGTCAGGGAATTTCTTTATGGCCAGCTCCTACACAGAAAGGCAGAGTAGAATTAGAGGATTATTTCTACGTTTTGAGGGAGAAAGGTTCTAGTTCCTATGACTCACCTTGGTGAAAAGGAATTACAGCCAGGCGTGGTGGCTCACGCCTGTAATCTCAGCACTTTGGGAGGCCGAGGTGGGTGGATCATGAGGTCAGGAGTTCGAGACCAGCCTGGCCAAGATGGTGAAACCCTGTCTCTACTAAAAATACAAAAATTAGCTGGGCATGGTGGCGTACGCCTGTAGTCCCAGCTACTTCGGAGGCTGAGGCGGGAGAATTGCTTGAACCTGGGAGGCAGAGGTTGCAGTGAGCCGAGATCGTGCCATAGCACTCTAGCCTGGAGGACAACAGTGAAACTCCGTCAAAAAAAAAAAAAAAAAAAAAAAGGAATTCTAGTTTCTATGGCCTGCCTTGGGCAGAAAGGGAAGCAGGAGAAGGTCAGAAACAGACTTTGCTTCTGAAGCCCTTCCAATGTCCTTCAGTTCAAAGTACACAGAATGTCAAAGCACCATATTTTGGGGTATCGTTTGCAAAGCCCCAACATAATTGACATGGTGTTAAAAACCCCAAGGATAAACATAAAAGGAACCTAAAAAAATACAATCAGAAATTTTCAGGAAGCCTAGTTTTCTTTTTTTTTCAAAAGTGATTTTTCTAGTTGTTTGCTTCCAATAAGCAGCTTATTCTTTAAATTCTGACTTGACTAATAAGGGGGGTAAGGGGTGGCAAATTAGGGGGATCCTTTGAAAAAAAGAAAACAAGAACCTTCCCCATTCTTCCAAAGAGCCAATATCCAGAGCTCTTTGCAAAACTGTTAGTCCTATCTCTAGAAGGACATTTTTCTCACCCATTTATATTGTAACGGAAAATATCTTCCACGAAGCAAACATTTTTGAGATTTCAGCTTTCAAATGCACGGTACTTGTGATAAAGGGTGTTTTCAAGCCCTCTTCTTCACTTAACCTGCCAGCTAACATGGGAAACCATTAGCTCAGGCTGCTACAATTAACTCAGGGCTTCTTCTTGAAAGGCTCACACAATTCCCAGCTACTTATCATGCAAACAACCTGGGAGACTCATTTTCCTTGCAATGCGGTGGGAGGGGTAAATTACGGAGATAAGTAGATTATTGGGGAAAAAGTCACACTCGGAGGCCTTATGAAATGATTAAACTCTGGGAAATTCATCCCCCTAAATCCCTGGCCCCTGATAGTACACATTCATTACTGGATCCTGGGTAATGTACAATGAAGAACCTCCTTTAGAAGCAATAAATACTCCCACTCCGCTGAATTTTCACTTAACTTTTTAAACAGTGAGTTCTGTAGTTTTGATGAGTGAGAGTCATCATATACGAAGCAAATTAAAGGAAAGGGAAGGGGTCATGAGACTTGTAAGATTTTTAAATACTGTACTGTTTTGCTAAAATAGGAAAAGTACAAATATTAAAATAAAACCAATAACATATAACTCTAGAAAAATAGGGTCTTACTGACTTCCTTGGATTAACTTCATAAACTCCATATCAACAGAAACCATTTCATATTTGATTAACAGCCTTGTTCAAATCTATTATGACAAAATATATACTCTCTAAGAAGTATTTCCTATAGCAAATATTTGTCAATAGTCAAGTTGACTCTTATTAGTCAAGTTGACTCTTATTAGTCAAGTTGACGAACAGCCTGAAATGATGTTTCGGAAAGAAAAAGTCTAGGAAAGTAACTTAAATGAATGTAACCATGAGCTGGAGACAGAAAATGAACCCTCATTTTTCTGGCAAAAGGGGGAAAAAAAACAACATACAAACACACACACAAAAAAACAGGCACCCTGATAACCAAAATCCTAATAAGAGAACTTCGTGGTGGAGACTGTTAGTATCAGCGTTGACTTTCTACTCCCAGCTACTGAATTGCAGATTCAGATTGCAACCTCAGGCATTCCAAAATACAGCAGTGCACTCACTTAAAATCGCTCTTGGAAATACGCGAGGAATTGCTAACTCTCTAAGTAAAGCTGAGCCTTTTTGATAGAATAAAACACATCTGCTTCTTCCTTATAAATAGACTATTCACTACCTGGAGGAATTCAGTCTTGCCCCCACCTGTCTGCTTAAAGTGAAGATCTGCTTTGTGAGGTACAATGTAACCTGCTCTTGTCTCAATACAAAACCTTCAGTAAAGGCTATAATTTATCAAAATTCTTGGAGCTGCTTTTGTATGTGAGCAAAGAGTGTGCACCTGTTTTGGGAGGAGAGTGGGACAGGATGGGCTGAGATGAATCTTGTGGGGTTGGGGAGGGGTGGTCCACGGAGATCTGTTCTCATTTGATTTATAGTAAGGCTATTCCAATTTTTATAAATGAAATACCTGAAGCTTGGAGAGGTTAAGTAACTTACCCAAGGTCTCGATGTTAGAGCTGGGATTCAGATCTACACTGATTTTGGAACCCAAAGTCTAAATACTATACTAGACTTATCTTGGAAGACAGTAGAGAACACAATCCTAGTTTGATATCTCAAATTGCTGTACTTCACTTATGGGAGTAGACATTCCTGGATGGAACAGAATTGAAGATTTTGAAAGAGGAGGAGTCGGCCGGGTGCAATGGCTCGTGCCTGTAATCCTAGCACTTTGGGAGGCCGAGGTGGGCGGATCCCAAGGTCAGGAGTTCGAGACCAGCCTGACCCACGTGGTGAAACCGCATCTCTACTAAAAATACAAAAATTAGCCAGGTGTGGTGGTGTGCACCTGTAATCCCAGCTACTCAGGAGGCTGAGGCAGGAGAATTGCTTGAACCCAGGAGGCGAAGGTTGCAGTGAGCTGAGATTGCGCCACTGCACTCCAGCCTGGTAGACAGAGCAAGACTCCGTCTCAAAAAAAAAAAAAAAAAGAGGAGAAGTCAGTGGGGTAATACAGAAAACCCATCCCCCTGGCTATTCGCAGCTGCCTGAAATATGTATCTGCAATGGAATGATATGTATTTCACAACAGAATTGAGATTCAAATGAGAATGCACAGCAAGAAAGTAAGACAGAAAGAAACAATTTTCACTAAAAAAACTTGGTGTATATATTAATGAAGAACTGCTTTTAGAAACTGCAATATGTAATATTAACAGTGAGATAATAATCACATTTATAGTTAAATAGAAAGAAATGTTTTTAATATCCATGAAATGAGGCACATATATCTTGGCATCCCTATTTGAACTGTGATTAAAATAGACTGACGGAATATAAACAGAGTCTAGTTATTAAGAACACAGTCAGTCTGAAGCCCAGTTCAACCACTTACTAGCTGTGTGGCCTTGGGTAAATCACTGAACCTTTCTGTGCTTCAGTTTCTTCATCTGCGAATGTGGATATTACATGTCCCTATCTCATTGGATGGTTGTGAGGATTCAATGAAATAATACATCGAAGTACTTGAAACAGTGCCTGATAACATGGTAAGTACTTTATAAGTGTTAGTGTTAAATTCTCTTTTTTTCTTTTTTTTTTCTGAGACGGAGTCTTGCTCTGTTGCCCAGGCTGGAGTGCAGCAGCGTGATCTTGGCTCACTGCAACCTCCCCATCCCAGGTTCAAGCTATTCTCCTGCCTCAGCCTCCCGAGTAGCTGAGATTACAGGTGCCCGCCATTATGCCCAGCTAATTTTTTGTATTTTTAGTAGAGACGGGGTTTCACCTGTTGGCCAGGCTGGTCCGAACTCCTGACCTTGTGATTTGCCTGCCTCAGCCTCCTAAAGTGCTGGGATTACAGGTGTGAGCCACTGCGCCCAGCTTCGTTAAATTCTTATTAAACACATAAAAAAACCTATATAAGCATGAGACTCTTTTTTTTTTTGTTTTTTGTTTTGAGATGGAGTTTCGTTCTTGTTGTCCAGGCTGGAGTGCAGTGGCGTGATCTTGGCTCACCGCAACCTCCACCTCCTGGGTTCAAGTGATTCTCCTGCCTTGGCCTCCTGAGTAGCTGGGATTACAGGCATGCGCCACCACGCCCAGCTAATTTTGTATTTTTAGTAGAGATGGGGTTTCTCCACGTTGGTCAGGCTGGTCTCAAACTCCCGACCTCAGGTGATCCACCTGCCTCGGCCTCCCAAAGTGCTGGGATTACAGGCGTGAGCCACCGCGTCTGGCAAGCATGAGACATTTTAAGGGATATCATAAAAGATAGTAAATGCACAGGTTAAAAGAGTAAGGAAATTCAGTGCTGGTGGGAAGGCTGTTGAATACTCACTGAGTTGAGGCTTATACAGAAATCACGCAAGCTGGACTGATTTGTTAGGAGAGCAAGGCAGAATTATGAGACGGAAGGTCACTTGGGTTAAAGAGCAGGTCTGAGTGGAGTTAGAAAGTGGAATGACAGGTGGTTACATTACAGAGAGGAATTTTTAGAGTTAGAGGTAGAACAGTTCCAGATGTACTAACTCCACTCTGCAGTCACGGAGATGGAGAAATTATGACCTAGAGTGTTGGATAGATCGTCAAGGTAGAATCTTGCGTCCCCAGGCATCCTCCAGGGAAATGGGTTAAAGAGGTCACTGTGGGCCAGGCGTGGTGGCTCAGGCCTGTAATCCCAGCACTTTGGGAGGCTGAGGTAGGTGGATCACCTGAGGTTGGGAGTTTGAGACCAACCTGACCAACATGGTGAAACCCCCTCCCTACTGAAAAATACAAAATTAGCCAGGCATGGTGGCGCATGCCTGTAATCCCAGCTATTCAGGAGACTGAGACAGGAGAATCACTTCAATCTGGGAGGCGGAGGTTATGGTGAGCCGAGATCACGCCATTGCATTCCAGTTTGGGCAACAAGAGTGAAACTCTGTCTAAAAAAAAGAAATAAATAAAAATAAGAGGTCACTGTGAATTGAGTGTCAAAATCCTCAAGGAACATGGGTGGGTGATAAGAAAGTCAAAACGTATCAGTGAGGGGTTTTCGTTGAAGATGTCGACATCCACTGCAGCCGGTTTAGCAAAAGAGGGCTTTTTAAAAAAGGGAATTAGGAGCTTATAAAACCTTCAGGACAAGCAGAAAACCCAACCAAGTTTTGAGGATTCACAATCAGCACCAATAGATCCAATAATCCAACAGGACAGTTCCTACAGAAATGCCACTGCTGCAGCTGTCTGCCAAGGGTTACAGAGAACAGTAGGAACTAGGTGCCAGAATCTGCTGAACACAAAGAGCCAAATGTCCCCAGCTGCCATGCCCATCACAAGATCTGATCCCCTGTGCACAGCTAACACCCTGTAAGGGTCACTTCTATCTCTAAGTCTTTTTGAGACGGAGTCTCGCTTCTGTCGCCCAGGCTGGAGTGCAGTGGTGTGATCTCAGCTCACTGCATGCAACCTCCACCTCCTGGGTTCAAGCGATTCTTATGCCTCAGCCTCCTGAGTAGCTGGGACTACAGGCACGTGCCACCACACCCGGCTAATATTTTGTATTTTTAGTAGAGACGGGGTTTCACTATGTTAGCCAGGATGGTCTCGATCTCCTGACCTCGTGATCCACCTGCCTCGGCCTCCTAAAGTGCTGGGATTACAGGCATGAGCCACCGTGCCCAGCCTCTCCCTTTAAATTCCCATAACAGTTTACCTATAGGTCTCTCTATTTACTTTAAGTTCTCATAAGAGTTTACCTACATTTCTCTGACATCACTGATCTCATTTGGTTTAACAGTTATTTATATACACGTCTTAACTCCCCTACTGAACTAAGCTTTCTAAGGCAGTGTATATGATCTACTGACTTCTGTATTTTTTTCCCAGCAACCAGTGTAACTCCTTGCTCTCTAAAAATGTTTGATGAATGAAAGATGAATTAACACTTTCATGCCCTCTATTATATCATTTGGTGATTTCCAATGTCCGTGAGGAATAGAATTGCCAGGTAGTCAGCCAATTTGTTTTGAGGTTTATTCTAACCAAAATGCTAAACTTCTAAAAATGCTCATAATTCTGGGTCTTGCTATACTTATACTACAGACTTCCCATTAGATCATGAGATTGGGAATATATATTTTATATCTGTTTTTTTGTTTTGTTTTGTTTTTGAGACGGAGTCTCACTCTCTCTCCCAGTCTGGAGTGCAGTGATATGATCTCGGCTCACTGCAAGCTCCGCCTCCCAGGTTCATACCATTCTTCTGCCTCAGCCTCCCGAGTAACTGGGACTACAGGCGCCCCCACTCCCATGCCCGGCTAATTTTTTGTATTTTTTTTTTTTTTAGTAGAGACGGGGTTTCA
The DNA here is from genome assembly GCF_000001405.40 of Homo sapiens. Classification (NCBI taxonomy): domain Eukaryota; kingdom Metazoa; phylum Chordata; class Mammalia; order Primates; family Hominidae; genus Homo; species Homo sapiens. The sequence continues at coordinate 9,314,608 of NC_000017.11, forward strand.
CTGTGTTAGCCAGGATGGTCTCGATCTCCTGACCTAGTGATCCACCTGCCTTGGCCTCCCAAAGTGCTGGGATTACAGGCATGAGCCACCATGCCCGGCCGCTTATCTTTTATATCTGTATATACCCTGAGGAATATCCTAAGCCCCCCAGCCGACTGAATGGATTCCCCTTGGCCAAGGGTAGCCCAGAGAAGCCTTAAAAAACTGAGTTCCTGGCTGGGCACGGTGGCTTACACCTGTAATCCCAGCACTTTGGGAGGCCGAGGCGGGCAGATCACGAGGTCAAGAGATCGAGACCATCCTGGCCAACATGGTGAAACCCCGTCTCTACTAAAAATACGAACATTAGCCAGTCGTGGTGGCATGCACCTGTAGTCCCAGCTACTTGGGAGGCTGAGGCAGGAGAATCGCTTGAATCCGGGAGGTGGAGTTTGCAGTCAGCCGAGATCGTGCCACTGCACTCCAGCCTGGCGACAACGTGAGACTCTGTCTCAAAAAAAAAAAAAAAACCAACAACAACAACAATAGTAACAAAAACAAGAAAAAAACAAAAACAAAAACAAAAAACAAAAAAAACCTGAGTTCCTGGCCATGACAGGATGGGAAGTCAGACACCTCATTATACCCCCTCCCTCACTAACCACCATAAGGCTTTCTTTCCTAAGAGTTAAAAAAACAAAAACAACAAAAAAAAAAAACAAGCAGCCCTTTTGAGACTTGCTCCACTGCTGATTTACCCAACTGACCAGCATTCCCTCCTGGTAAGAGACCATGGACCATGGACAGGTTCTGGCCAGTTTACAGAGGCTGCACGCAGCATGCTTCTGAGTCTTCCATCTCACCCTTTGATGTAAAGAGCCCAATTCTAATGCATTTAAATGCTAAGTCTCCACCCCAGAGGGAAAATGTGGGATGCGTGTCACATGCATTTGTTTACTACACATGCACAACCCTTTTCATAAATATTCATAACTCCTATAACATGTTGACTATGTATATTTAGCCAACCTGTTCAGCATAAATTCCTGTCTCATGCTTCCCTCTCTCAAAGTGCCTGCTTTTGGTTTCTATCGGAGGCTATGCTTCCCAGCCTGCAGGATGGCCGGCCTACAAAAATAAAGCTGGTGGGCATGGTGGCTCACGCCTGTAATCCTAGCACTTCAGGAGGCTGAGGTAGGCAGACTGCCTGAGCTCAGGAGTTTGAGACCAGCCTGGGTAACATGGTGAAACGCTGTCTCTACTAAAATACAAAAAACATTAGCTGGGTGTGGTGGTGTGTACCTGTAGTCCCAGCTACTTGGGAGGCTGAGGCAGGAGAAAGGCTTGAACCCGGGAGGTAGAGGTTGCAAGTGAGCCGAGATCACGCCACTGCACTCCAGCCTGGGTGATAGAGTGAGACTCCATCTCCAATTAAAAAAAAAAAAAAAGTAATAAAGCTCTCCTTTCCAAGTATATGAACCTCGTGATTCATCAGTTGACACCCCTATAATGTCTACTGTAGGACATGCTCAAAGGACACGTGATGACTTGTCTAAGTTCAGATGTTATCTGGGACATGTGGATGGGCCCTGAACTTTGTCTAAGTATGATACTGTAATTTATAATGAGAAATATATATTTGGCCTTGTTTAATTTCCTGGCAGCTGATCCTAAAACCTTTGGAATCTCTAAAGTGATAAGTGTCTTTCTGAATGTTAATGAGATGATGGCTGACTGGGGGCTCCTAGATAGCATCAGGATGGGGGAACAGAGGAAGCAACTGTATGATTAGGAGGTTTGAACTTTCAGCCCCATCCCATGACCTCCGGGAAGAGGAGAGCAGCTGAAGGTTGAGTTGATCACCAATGGTCAATAATTTAATCTACCATGTTTATGTAATGAAGCCTCCACAAAAACCCAAAAGTACAGGGTTTGGACAGCTTCCAGGCTGCTGACCATGTGGCGGTACTGCGAGGGTGGCATGCCCAGAGAGTGCATGGAAGCTCTGTGCCCCTACCCATACCTTACCCTGTGCATCTCTTATATCTGCCTGTTCATTGTATCCTTTTACAATAAATGAGTAAAGTAAATGAAGTGTTTCTTGGAGTTCCGTGACCCATTTTAAGCAAATAATCGAACCCAAGGAAGGGGTCCTGGGAACCCCCAATTTACAGCTGGTCATTGAGAAATTCCAGACACTTTGACTTGTGATTGACATTTGAAGTAGGGGACAGTCTTAGGGGCCCTGTGAGATTTAACTCTAATTCCAGGTAGATAGTGTCCATTGCATTAAATTACAGGACATCTAATTGGTATCCGCCAGAGAACTGATGAGCAAGGAAAATCATTCACACCTGGTATCAGAAGTGAAGCATTGCGGGTGAGGAGAGTGGAATAGGAAAAGACAGTCGGTTCTTTTTTCCTATCTCACGCACTAAGGTGTCTATAAGATTTCTGTATGATATATTTGTGTAGATGAAAGGAATAAGGGACATTAGACTGGATTTACTCTGGAAAAGATATGATCTAACACAAGAGAGGACAAGAGGCATAAAAGAGCCATAGCTCTGTAACAATGAAGAGAACTGAAAAAGAACCAGTGGTGAAAGAAAGAGCTCTATACATTTCTGGAAGACAGAACGTAAATGGGATAGGGCTGACTACTCAAATCAAGGAAGTAGTACGGCCTAGAAAACACATGAGGAAGAGCCGGCACTGAAGAGGGCACCAACCTGCCAAGCACACCCTTGAGATGTAGAGATGGCAAAGCATGAGTGAGAAATGGGGCTGAAAACAGGATTCACTGAAGATCTTTACACAGACCCTCCCGCTTACCAAGTGATAAAACCGCGCCAGGCAAATAAGTGTCTTATCTATCCACAAAAAGCAAGGCTGTTGGCCGGGCGCGGTGGCTCACGCCTGGAATCCCAGCACTTTGGGAGGCTGAGGCGGGCAGATCACAAGGGCAGGAGATCGAGACCATCCTGGCTAACACAGTGAAACCCCGTCTCTACTAAAAATACAAAAAAATTAGCTGGGCATGGTGGCAGGCACCTGTAGTCCCAGCTACTTGGGAGGCTGAGGCAGGAGAATGTCGTGAACCCGGGAGGTGGAGCTTGCAGTGAGCCGAGATTGCACCACTGCACTCCAGCCTGGGTGACAGTGAGACTCTGTCTCAGAAAAAGAAAAAAAAAAAAAAAAAGTGGGGCTGTTTTCTCTACACAAATCAAGCAAACTATCTCTGGGAGACTGGAGCTGCTAGTGTAGGTAGGTGTTGCTGTCCTAGAACAGAGTCCTCTGCTTTCTGGACCATGTCAGGGTTGGGGCAGGGAGTTTCCCCAGTGACCTGGATGCGAGGCCCATCAATCAGCCAGCTCCATCCACATTTACATAGAGCTTCCCATTGGCCTTTCTACTTCCCAATTCTTACATATGAACTCGCTCTGAAGATACATCACACACTTGAGCAAAGTCTATGGCATGCTATAGAAGGCACAGAATAAGCAAATAGAAAAACTGACTCTAGAGGACACAGAAATAATTTTTTTTAAATACTTCAAGTTCTAGGGTCCATGTGCACAACGTGCAGGTATGTTACATAGGTATTTATGTGCCATGTTGGTTTGCTGCACCCATCAACTCATCATTTACATGAGATATTTCTCCTAATGCTATCCCTCCCCCAGCCCCCCACCCACCAACAGGCCCCAGTGTGTGATGTTCCCCACCCAGGACACAGAAGTAATTCTGATAACAGAAGAGAACTTGAAAACAAAATACAACATGTGGAAGACTCTTGTTAGTATTCTTGAAGAAACTAGAAAAAAATATTGTACCCATAAAAATAATGACAGAATCCAATGGAGAAGGAATAATCTAGAATAAGAAAGAGCACTTGGAAAGTAAATGACCCACACCCTAACCATGTTTTGACATTTCAGAACAGCAACAAAAGAAAGGCCCTAAAAGCTTCCAGAGTGAAAAACGAACAATACGGCAGTAACAAGATAAATAAAAACAGGTCACAAACAAATTGGACTCGTGTCAGAGTTCTCATCAGTACTGGAGATGATCAGACATTAAAGCTCCGAAGATAAACTATTATTTAGAATTCTATACCCAGTAAAACTATCAAGCATGAGGATGGTATAAAGCATTTTTCCACATGTGAGAATTCATAAGGCATACCACTCTTGCCCCCCTGTTTTAGAAGGTTTAGAATATAGTTCAACAAAATGTGAAAACTGTGATAAAAGGGAAAAAATGAGATCAGAGAAACAGAATAATCACACAGGATAACAATGAATAGAAATGCCAGAATGACAAGCAGTTCTCAAAACAGGGGTGCAGAGCCAGTGCGGATTGGAGCAGAAGATAGCATGTAGAAGGGAGCTCTCCAGGAAAATCAATAAAGAGTAAATGACAAACTAGCAAACAACCAAAGAAATAAATGAATAAATACATTCCCCTAGAGATTATCTGATGAATTTTTCCACGTGGAAATTAGTACTGTGAAGCATTTTAAGAGATGTTGATATATTAAAAAATTACCCACAAGTGCATTAAAAACTAAAGAAAATCCCAGGACTTTGGGAGGCCGAGGCGGGCGGATCACAAGGTCAGGAGATCGAGACCGTCCTGGCTAACACAGTGAAACCCTGTCTCTACTAAAAATACAAAAAATTAGCTGGGTGTGGTGGCGGGTGCCTGTAGTCCCAGCTACTCAGGAGGCTGAGGCAGAAGAATGGCGTGAACCTGGGAGGCAGAGGTTGCAGTGAGCCGAGATTGTGCCACTGCACTCCAGCCTGGGCGACACAGCAAGACTCTGTCTCAAAAACAAAAACAAAAACAAAACAAAACAAACACTAAAGAAAAGAAAAAACTGCATTATCGATACCTGGAAAATTTAAGTTATACAATACAGAAAATGCAACAGCAGCACATCATTTGATTCAACAGGAAACAAGATTTACAGTCATATCCCATCCAGACTGGAACAAGAAGCCAGAGGGTTTGAGGATCTTGGTCTCCAGGGAAAAAGGAAGATTCGGTTCAGAAAAAAATTTCAAAATAAAATGAAAGCCGGCCAGGCACAGTGGCTCACACCTGTAATCCCAGCACTTTGGGAGGCCGAGGTGGGTAGATCACGAGGTCAGGAGTTCAAGACCAGCCTGACCAACATGGTGAAACCCTGTCTCTACTAAAAATACAAAAATTAGCCAGGCCTGGTGTCACACACTTGTAATCCGAGCTACTCGGGAGGCTGAGACAGGAGAATCACTTGAACCCAGGGGGCAGAGGTTGCAGGAGCTGAGATCTTGCCATTGCACTCTAGCCTGGGCAACATAGTGAGAGTCCATCTCAAAAATAAATAAATAAATAAATAAAATAAAATAAAAGCAAACTGGAAACTCTAGGAAATACTAAAGGTGATGTTTAAAAAATAAAAAATAAAAATTTTACTGGCCAGGTGCTGTGTGGCTCACACCTGTAATTCCAGCACTTTGGAAGGCCGAGGTGGGCAGATCACGAGGTCAGGAGTTCAAGACCAGCCTGACCAACATGGTGAAATCCCGTCTCTACTAAAAATACAAAAAATAACTGGGCATGGTGGCACGCACCTGTAATCCCAGCTACTGGGGAGGCTGAGGCAGGAGAATCGCTTGAACCCGGGAGGTGGAGGTTACAGTGAGCCAAGATGGCACCACTGCACTCCAGCCTGGGTGACAGAGCAAGACTCCATCTCAAAAAAAAAAAAAAGAAAACAAAAAAAGCTAGCAAATTAAAACATGGCATGGTTTGAAACCAGTGATGGGAAGAAAAGACAATAAATGTTAATATTCTCCTTTGATTACCACAAGGATTATGATTTGGGAATTACAGGGAGGGAAATATCATTAACCATAGCTCATTTCTTGGTATTACACTGTATAATATTCATATACACATAATAATATGAAAGTTATTTACTGGCTCTTAACTTCTGGAACCAACTTAAAGGTACAGTATAGAAATCTTCCTTGTGGCCGGGCATGGTGGCTCACACCTGTAATCCCAGCACTCTGGGATGCTAAAGTGGGTGGATCACCTGAGATCAGGAGTTCAAGACTAGCCTGGCTAACATGGTGAAACCTCATCTCTATTAAAAAAAAAAAAATACAAAAGTTAGCTGGGTGTGGTGGCGTGCACCTCTAGTCCCAGCTAGTCAAGAGGCTGAGGCAGGAGAATCACTTGAACCCAGGAGGCGGAGGTTGCAGTGAGCCAAGATCATGCCACTGCACTCCAGCCTGGGACAGAGCAAGACTATTTTCCAAAAAAAAAAAAGAAAGAAATCTTAATTGTGATCCCAACGGGGCCTCCAAAAAAAAAAAAAAACTTAACTCTAGTTAAATTGGAGTGCAAACGTTATCAACAGCTGATAGAAATGAAGGGCAGAGAGACGAGAGAAGAGGTAGAAGAAAGGTGAGATGGCATACTGTCTATAATCAGTGATACAGGAAAAGGAAATAGAGCTTTAAGTGTATTAAAGTTACAATAGCAATACACAGAGGAATAAAAATAACGACATGGGAAAGGGGAGAGGTATGTAGAGCGTATGAATGAAACCCTATCTATATCAGGAAATCAATAGGTAATGTCTAAAGTTGAAAAATCAAAAATAGGCCAGGCGCAGTGGCTGACGCCTGTAATCCCAGCACTTTGGGAGGCCAAGATGGGCAGATCACCTGAAGTCAGGAGTTCGAGATCAGCCTGGCCAACATGGTAAAACCCTGTCTCTGCTAAAACTACAAAAATTAGCCGGGCGTGGTGGCAGATGCCTGTAATCCCAGCTACTTGGGAGGCTGAGGCAGGAGAATTGCTTGAACCCAGGAGGTGGAGTTTGCAGTGAGCTGAGATAGAAAAAGAAAAAAAATAACACATATAAATATACTACTTATTTATTTATTTATTGAGATAGAGTCTCCCCCTGTCGCCCAGGCTGGAGTACACTGGCGCAATCCCAGCTCACTGCAACCTCCGCCTCCCAGGTTCAAGCGGTTCTCCTGCCTCAGCCTCCTGAGTAGCTGGGATTACAGGTGCACACCACCACCCTGGCTAATTTTTTATATCTTTAGTAGAGACGGGGTTTCACCATGTTGGCCAGGCTGTTCTCAAACTCCTGACCTTGTGATCTGCCTGCCTTGGCCTCCCAAAGTGCTGGGACTACAGGCATGAGCCGCCATGCCCAGCATAAATATACCATTTATTAATATGCAAATAATCGCCAAAAAACAGGAAAAGGAAAAATGGTTCAAACTGATTGACTCTGGAGATCAGGACAGGGGATAAGAAGAGATGGGGCAGGGGCCAGCTGATTTGTTTAAAACTGTGTAGATGCATTATTTAAGTGTGTTAAAAGATTTTCACAGAGTAAACATGTACTCTGGAACCTGAACTTTTTGGCTCATGACTGCTAAGAAATTAACCTTTGACAAGTACTATTGGATTCACTTATTTCTATCAGAATACGTTCGTCCCAGGGCTATCCAGACCCCAGCCAGCAGTACACAAGTCCTCAGCAGTACCCAGATGACATGCCACAGGGCATGATGTGAAGGATGGAGGAAGTATAAATGGCGGGTTAGCGGTCATCTCAGGGAATTTCAACTCTAGGTCATTACAAAGAGGAAGATCTCCCCTGGGCTCACTGCCGGAATAACCCTGGGTCTCACCAGACTTCCATGGTCCTGCTGGACAGAATAAGTAAAATGTCTGATATTTTCCTTTTGAAAGCACTAGGAACAGCTCAAGGATTTGCACAGCAGAATGAAAGAGGAGCTGTCACTGAGTTCCTTAGGACTCACAGCTTGAAAGGAAGGAGGAGGCCCACAGGGGGCCTGAGGACCAAGCCCAGCAGGGGACGCTGAGCACTTCCACAGCCCAGGGGGTGGGACCAGAGCTCTTAAAGCCACAGATCTCCTCTGCAGGCACAGAGACCCTCACAGCAGGGATCCATTCACACCAGTCACCCTTGGAGACTGCTATTTATGCTAAAGAAATTTATCCCACTGCATTGTATGCTTCTTGTCCAGAGTTCTCTTGGATCCCTTGTTTACGGCCTTAGTCTTATATTGTGAGCAGTGGAATGGACAGGCCATTTAAGAGGGCAGGGATGGCTAATGATGGGTCTGTTAGCCCTGCAGTCAGTCTTTCCTTTGTGAACCAAACCCAATTTGGGTGCATTTGCTAAAAAAAAAAAAAAAAAAAAAAAAAAGAGGCAAAACCCTCATTTGAAGTTGAAGAAATGTTAGTTGTATTCCATTCCTTTTATGAGGAAAAAAAAAAACACAAACACACACACTGGAAGAAACCAAAAACTTTATAATATTTATGATCCATTCTTTCGGTGGTCAAAATACATATCCGATTTTTTCAGGTGTAGGTACAAACACTGTAGTTCCTTAAGATTGAGAAGATCTTAAAAAATAGGGGGTCTTTTCATCACTAGAGAGATGCTAATTTTTATCTTGCAAAAAGTAAAGAGAAGCCCCTTCAGAAAATGTTTTCTTTTGAGGCAGAACTTAAACAGATGCCAATGCTTTCATGAATTTTGTGAGCTAAATCCTTATAAATCCTTTGAGTTGACAGATCAATTATTCCTTCTAACAGCTAATGAACTAATAACCCTTGGAAATTTCTCCTTCCTTGGGTTTAAAATAGAAAAAAAGAAAACCTTAGGGGGAAAAAATCAATTAAAGACTACATAGCAATAAGAATCAATTAAACTCATTATAACTTTTTAAAGAGAGCTATATTTTCTTCAAGAGCTATGATTTTTAAATTAAAAACACGTCAAATAACTCTGTATTTTATAAACCACAAATATTCTTAAAACATGTCTTTAATTCACATTGTGTCCAGGCAAAGGAAAGTGAGAAAGGCTAGAAAAACAGAAAAGGAGACAGAGATGGACCTTGCAGAAGGCAATCAGAAGAACGGTGGGATCACGGTGGGATCACCGAATGCCTCTCTGTACAAGGCACCGTGGTAGACTCTCAGGGCACCAGAAAGAGAAAAAGACATACGCACACAGCACTGGAGAAAAAATGAAGAGAAGAGAGAAAGGAAGGGAGATTGCGTTACTCCAGAATGCTCTAGACAACACTGTGAAGAGAGGAGGCCTGTCCTGAGCGTCTTGCTGATAGAAGTGGAGATTAGCAGGAGTTGGCAGAGTCCATATGCTGGGCATTCAAGGAGTTAGGCCCAAACGGGACAATGAGGACCAGAGCAGGTGGCAGAAAGGGAACGAGAAGAATGGGAATGCACGCAGGTGCTGGAGGTGAGCCCTGATCCCAAGAATGAGGTGGTACCTGCTGGGGGAATGGGACACAGGCGCAGTGGGGCGGAGAGGCATCGGTCCTATTTGTGGATCTGACATCATGGCCAAAGATTTTAACAGATGAGAAAACTGAAGCAATGGGAATTTCAGTAAAAGACTTGCTCAAGGTCTCAGGGCATCCCTCTCTCTCTCTCTCTCTCTCTGTCTCTCTCTCTCTCTCTCACACACACACACACACACACACACACACAAACACAAACACACACTCCAGTTGTACGTGTATGTACAAGAAAGTCTGTGCTTTGTTTTTAATTAAGGAACTAGAGCATGATGGTCATCCAGGTACCAGCCCACAAACGCTGCTCTTCCTTCCTGCAGTGCAGTTCTTGGAAGTGAAAAGCAAAGTCTCATTTGAAATTGAGTGAGTGGTCTTTTTTCCAAATTAACAACTCTGGAGGGTGATACCTAGAGAACATGGCGCACATTCCAGGGGATGCTGACAGTTCTCCACCCTGTGAGCTCCTGGTGCGCAGTGTGATGGGGTGTAAAGAAAGGGAAACCTAAGAGTCAGAAGAGGCCAGGTGCGGTGGCTCCTGCCTGTAATCCCTGCACTTTGGGGGGCTGAGGTAGGAGGATCACCTGAGGTCAGGAGTTCGAGACCAGCCTGGGCAACATGGTGAAACCCTGTCTCTACTAAAAATACAAAAAAATTAGCTGGGCGTGGTGGCAGGCACCTGTAATCCCAGCTACTCGGGAGGCTGAGGCAGGAGAACTGCTTGAACCCGGGAAGTGAAGGTTGCAGTGAGCCATGATTGTACCACTGCACTCCAACATGGGTGACAAGAGCAAAACTCCATCTCAAAAAAAAAAAAAAAAAAAAAAGAGAAGAGCTGGGTCAGCATCACAGCTCCACTCTTATTTGGCCTCAGTTGCTCTGACTATAACAGGGATACGAATGGTCCCTGACCATGGTTCCACTTACAAATTTTTGACTTCGAGATGATGCAAAGGCAATATGCATTCAGTAGAAACTGAATTTTGAATTTTGTTATTTTCCTGGGCTAGTGATATGTGGTATAGTACTCTCTTGTGATGCCAGGTGGCAGCAGCAAGTACAGCTCCCAGCCAGCCACATGATCATGGGAGTAAACAACCAGTATTGTACTCTGTGATGTACTGTGTTGCCAGATGATCTTGCACAACTGTGGGCTAATGTAAGTGTTCTGAGCACCTTGAAGATAGGCTAGGCCGAGCTATGATGTTCAATAGATTAAGGGTATTAAAAGCGTTTTCAACTTAACGATATTTTCAACTTAAGATGGGTTTATTAGAACATAACCCCCTCATAAGTCAAAGAGCATCTGTAATTATAGTTATACCTCAAGTTGTGAATAGGAATAAACCAACCATAGTTTATTCCTATGGTGATAAACCAAACTATTCATAAGGGCTTATAAGGTATGTATAGTGTATGAATGAAACCCTATCTATATCAGGAAATCCCCAAGACCCATCTATGGACTTGTGGCCCTGTTAAGGTAAAGCTAGGGCCAGCTTTATGGGTGTGTGACCCTCAGAGATGACACAGGGTTCCCATGTTAAAGGGGGCCCATGCTTGATTCAACACTCTGCTGTTGCCATCTTGACATTCTTGATAATTTCCGAACAAGGGGCCCTGCATTTTCATTTTGCGATGGGCTGCGCGAATTACATAGTTGGTCCTGGGTAAAGTCACTTGGTTCAGTGGGAAGAGCTCAGGAAGGTTTCCATCTTTGGCAAATACTTCCCAGTAGACTGGAAGTTTGCAGTGAACATGTGTTTGCTTTCCAGCTGAACCCATTTCTTACATTTGAGGAACGCTTCACCATACGGGTCTTGGCAAGAGGCAGGGCCACATGGGCCAGATACTGGCATTCCTCAGCCTTCCTACCAGCTAGAGCGTGGCCAGCCAGGTGCAATGACTCTGGAGTGTGCAATGCTTAAAGTATGAAAGGAGAGTGGAAAATTCACTTTGGTGATGGCAGCAGTGGCATCAATTATCTAGGGACATAAATGGCAGCCCCCAGCTATGGTCTCTGGTGTCCAGCGCTAGCCATGCTAGCTAGTGGGAAAAGGTTGGGGGTCGGGAGGCATCCAGCAGTGTGTCAATGAGATCCTCCACTAGATGGGTCTGTGATGAGGTTGCAGTCTTGGTTTTAGCCACCTTTGGTTCTTCCCTGTTTCCTTTTTTTTTTTTTCTTTTTGAGACAGGGTCTCACTCTGTCATCCAGGCTAGAGTGCAGTGGCACGATCATGGCTCATTGCAGCCTTGACCTCCTGGGCTCAGGTGATTCTCCCACCTCAGCCTGCCGAGTAGCTAGGACTACAGGTGCCTGTCACCATACCTGGATAATTTTTGTAGAGACAGGGTTTCACCGTGTTGCCCAGGCTGGTCTCAAACTCCTGGGCTCAAGTGATCTGCTTGCCTCAGCCTCCCAAAGCGCCAGGATGACAGGTGTGAGCCACTGTGCCCAGCTTCCTTCCCTGTTTTCTAGCCTGTTCATCTAGTCTTCTTGGTGATTTGCTTTTCAAATTACTCAGTGTTCTTTCGATAAATTCCTTTTGCACTTATGTGGTCAGAGATGGTTTCTGTTGCTCATAGCTACGAGCTTTTTCTGATATAAAGTTGGACTCTGGTGGAGTTACGACCCTGATCATCCTTTGGCTGAGAGGCAGAAAATGGGTCCTGTGTCCTGAGGCAGAACTTGTCGGCCACATGTCCCTGGTGATAAGACACTAGTGCTTATGCATTCCAACACAGAAGGGACATGGGAGACTGCATGGGTGGAAAGGCACAATATCTTTCCTCACCCATTAGCAGGGTCATGGCTGACATTCCTATAACAAGGATGGGTTAAGAAGACAGAGGCATAACAGATTTATTTAATCAGTGTTTTACTTGACACAGGAGCCTTCAAAAATGAAGATCTAATGGCTGGGCATGGTGGCTCACGCCTGTAATCCCAGCAGTTTGGGAGGCTGAGGCGGGCAGATCACCTGATGTCGGGAGTTCAAGACCAGCCTGACCAACAGAGAAACCTCATCTCTACTAAAAATACAAAATTAGCCGGGCGTGATGGTGCATGCCTGTAATCCCAGCTATTCGGGAGGCTGAGGCAGGAGAATCGCTTGAACCTGGGAGGCGGAGGTTGCAGTGAGCCGAGATCACGCCATTGCACTCCAGCCTGGGCAACAAGAGCTAAACTCTGTCTCAAAAAAAAAAAAAGAAGAAGAAGAAGGAAGAAGAAGGAAGAAGGAAGAAGGAGGAAGAAGGAGGAAGAAGGAGGAAGGAGGACAGAGGAGGAAGGAGGAAGGAGGAGGAGGAAGGAGGAAGAAGGAAGAAAGAAGAAGAAGAAAGAAAGAAGAAGAAGGAAGAAGGAGAAGAGAAGGAGAAGGAGGAGGAGGAGAAGGAGAGGGAGAGGGAGAAGGAGGAGAAGGAGGGGGAGAGGGAGAAGGAGAAGAAGAAGAAAAAGAAGATCCAAAGACTCAGGGAAAACTGTCTATTTCTATGCTTAGGTTGGATGTGAATGGACAGCTATGTAGAAATGTGACTGGACAACAAGGGGTATGATCTAATGTTGATGGACAGAGAGGGGAAGCACAGTAAGGCCCGTCTGTTTGGATTCTTCCTGGTCTCTCTGTGTGGCATTCCTTCCACCTGGGTACAGGGCAGGACCTCTCTGGAAACAGGGGTCTTATGTCCTACTTTTAGACAAGGTAGGGCAGAGAATTTTTTTCTTTCTGTTTCTGAGATGAAGTCTCACTCTGTCGCCCAAGCTGCAGTGCAGTGGTGCAATCACGGCTCACTGCAGCCTCCACCTCCTGGGCCTGAGTGATCCCCCTGCCTCAGCCTCCTGAATACTGGGACTACAGGTGTGCACCACCACACCCAGCTAATTTTTCTCCTTCCTTCCTCCCTTCCTCTCTTTTTTCCTTCCTTCCCTTCTTCCCTCCCTCCCTCCCTTTCCTTCCTTTCTTCCTTCTGTCCTTCCTTCCTTCCTCCCTCTCCTTCCTTCTTTCCTTCTCCCTCCTTCCTTCCTTCTTTTGTCTCTCTCTTTCCTTCTCTCTCATTCTTTCTCTTTCCTCCTTTCTCTCTCTCCTCTCCCCCCACCCCCTCTCTCTTTCTTTCTTTTCTTTTCTTTCTTTCTTTCAGAGCTAGATCTCACTATGTTGCCCAGGCTGGTCTTGAACTCTTGGCCTCAACTGATCCTCCACCTCCAGAGAATTTATTTATAACCAGCTCTTACACAGAAAGGTGGTGATAGGTTAGAGTTATATACCTAGGTTTTTGTGGCTGGTATTGGAGAAGTTGGGTTCTAGTTTCTATGGCCTGCCTTGAAGAGGGATTCTACTTTCTGTGGCCTGTCTTGGGGAAAAGGGAAGGAAGAAAAAGAAGAGCAGGAGAGGGTCAGAAAGAGACAGCCTTTGAGGCCCTTCCAAAGTCCTTCAGTTCAAAGTACTCAGCATGCCAAAGTGCTACACTTTGGGTCATCGTTTTCCGAGCCCCAACAAGGTCATCTGGTCCACACTCCTTCTGAACGTGGGAATCCTTTATGAATAATTCAGGATCTGAATAGCATTCAACAAAAGATGCTACTGAAAACCACAGTGTGTGCTAAGCAGAAAGACTTGATCACGGGTGACAAACGCTGAGGTTGGCCAGCTCCCAGTTGTACTGTTCAGGGTCAATGGCCCTCTTAGGGCTGTAAGGATATCCCTAACTGTCATCAAATTGTCAAGGCTAAAGTTCAGGGAAATCCACCTCACTCATGGCCAAATATAAAATGTCATTCCTTCAGACATGTAATTAAGATGGTGGCTGAGGCCGGATGCGGTGGCTCACGCCTGTAATCCCAGCACTTTGGGAGGCTGAGACGGGTGGATCACCTGAGGACAGGAGTTCAAGACCAGCCTGGCCAACATGGTGCAACTCCATCTCTACTAAAAGTACAAAAATTAGCCGGCTGTGGTGACAGGCACCTGTAGTCCCAGCTAGTCAGGAGTCTGAGGCAGAAGAATCACTTGAACCCAGGAGGTGGAGGTTGCAGTGAGCTGAGATCGCGCCACTGCACTTGAGCATGGGCGACAAGAGCGAGATTCCATCTCAAAAAAAAAAAAAAAAAAAAAAAAAAAAAAAAAGATGGTGTCTGAGTCCCTAATGAATTCCCAGAGCATAATGGGACTAAGGTGCTCTGGGATTCTGAAATCTACAGACTACCTAGAAAAGTTCCCACAGAAACATTATGGCCATAGCGAAAACAAAACACGAAAACCAAAAACAACCAAAGTGCCAAACATCTGCATTGAGGATGCTACAGGAAATTACTTTCACCTCCTTTTATAGGCATGTTCAATCAATGGCAACAATATTCTACATTTTGCTAAGGGCTGAAGGAAGAGAAAAGAGAGTCAGGACCAGCTCATTTTCCAACACTTGAAATGAACTCCTGGCTGAAACTAAATCACTCGCTCTCTGGCATCACGGCTATTTCTACAGTGCCACTTGGCTGGCTGGGTGATTTTCCAGTCACTGGGTGAGGGACACTGGATCCAGGACAGGGCCATGAGCGTGTTAAGAGCAGAAAGACCCAATTATGAAGAATCCCCTGGAAAGCCCACAATGTAGCCCACCCACCTGGGTCTGAATGGCAGGCATGTGAGCAGAGGCAGAAAAGCTTCGGTGCCAAATGGGGGAGGATGCAGAGCCACTTCGAGTCCCATCGGACCACTCAGGCCGTTGCAGCTGGAGCTGCCTGCCTGAGGCAAAGTAATGCCAAAGTGAGCGGTAGGAGCCCGTCACAGCCAAGCAAATGGCAACTGGACAGAGTTGGCCAAGGGCTGCCAGACATGATAGAGCAGGGAAAGAGGCAGAGATGAGGGAATAAGGCAGCTGTCATTTATTTGGGAGGGAAGAGGTTGGATCCTGTAAGGGCAATAGGGTGGAGGGGAGGGAGAGGGCTCAGAGGGCCTAGGGTCAGATTGGAAGCAGCAGACCCCGAAGCGTGCTGATCCTGAGGCAGAGGGTGCAGCTGGTCATAGCTAAGAGGAAGGTGAAGGTGTGCAGGCCCCTTGCTCAGAGGGGAGCAGAGGGCAGAGGTGCGATACCCTGGGAGGTCCCGCGGCTTCAAAGGGAAAGGGAGAGGATGGGCAGGGAGAGAGAAACAGGAGGCAGAGTCCCTCCGTAAGCTTTCCCAAGTGAGTAAAGTACTCATACCCAGGGCTTTATTTGAATTTATCACCTCTTATTAGTGTCTTTTGAAATGCGAATTAGCTGATTAACCACTGCTCACAGCCTTCCAACTGTTCTTTATTCTCCAGCATTCAGCAACTTTGTTCTAAATAGGGTAGGCCACAGTAGCCCACCAGGGGGAAATTATTCTCAAGGTTACAAGAACAGCGACCAAGGCAAAATTAGGCCCTGGCCTGGATGGAATCAAGTTGGGAGTGAGGTTGTGCCTGGAGCCAGGCTCTAACCACTCCCACCCCCCAACCCGGTCTACACACAAAGCCTCCGAGGATGCTGGTTACCCTGGTGTTAGTCCATCCTTGCGATGTATGAACAGGGCTCTGGGGAACAAGATACACACTCTTCTGCCCCCTACCACTTTTTTGTTGATGATCACCATTTTCTAAAAGGTTTATTAGTTCTAGGTCCCTCAGGAATGCCCGTGCACTGGCTTCGGCTTTCTGTTTGGGACGTGGGTTCACGTTTACGAACAACAAGGGATGGCCCCTGGCAGAGCCTCGTTCGCACTCGCTCCTGCCTCCAGTTTGGCAACACAACACAAAGGCGGTATGGCTTGTATACACTTTCCAGGCTGAGCCCCTATTCAGAGGGGGCTGCAGCTTGCGCGTAATGGGCCCCCTACAGACAAAGCCAGCAAGTTTCTTAATTAAGTCTAAGTGAAAGACAGATCCCGCTTACATCTTCAGAGAACCTTCCTTCAGAACTTCAAAAACAGCCTAGACTGCCTATCAAATCCAGGCACGAATAACTAGCTAGCAATTTTTTCTCTTTTTAAATATAGAAAGCCAGGCCTCCGGCGCCAACTCTTCAACCCCCTCTCACTTTCCCTGCAATTTTAGACATGCCTCTGGTTTATAAAACAGGAAACAAAGGGACTTCTTGTGTGTCGGAGAAGCCCTCAGAGGGCCTGCATTTCATTCCGGCCTTCCCCAAAGCACTGTGCTGTCTAAAGAGCTCTTTAACTGGTTTAGTCTCATTACCATTTCCATGAGGTATCAAAGGATACGCTACGAAACCAGCATATGTACATATATCACATAAGGACACATCCTGTTACGCAACGATATTAAAAAATTAATTATTAGCTAATTGCCTTTTCAGAAATGTGATTTTTCACATCCCTCCCTCCCCTCCCCCTCCACCCTAGCCCCAGAAACCCTCTCTCAGACAGACCTTTCTGTTTTCTGGGCTTTGCTGTGATAATGTTCCTTGCAAACAGAAACCAATTATTCTGCAGCAGTAAGTCACCAGGAGTATGAATTGCTTTAATTTTTCCCCCTTTTAGCAGCTGCCCAGGGTGGGTTGCGAGGTGGCTGCAGTAATGAAGCTGGGATGAATACTAAAGCAGGACCGAGGCCGGGTGTCCTGCAGGGAAAATGATGTTCAAAAATAAAAGTGCGTTTTTGTTGGGAGAAGCTAATCAATGAATTGGACGTTTCCAAAAAATGTGCTTTCCGCTCTCAATTTGCATCGCCAATGCTGCTTTCCCCAATGAGTCCTGTGCACCTGACTAGCTTGTAAAAATGTCACCTTACTGTTAAAGTGCTAAACACGCCCTGTTTTTCCTCCGCCTGTTCTCTCTCTCCCTCCCCCCTCTCTGCCTTTTTCCTTCTGCAATTCTTTGCTTTCTCATTAGAAATGCCCAGCAACGTCTGGCAGACAAAGACACTGCAAACAAAGTGTATGGAAAGGAAAAAAAAAATTAAAAGGGAAAAAAGTGCAGAGGAATTCTTCATTCACGGATCTGTAGAATACATTAATATCTGAAACTGTTGGCACAGCCTAAAATACTTGGGCGGCTAACAATGCGGGCAATGATTCCGAGTCTGGGATCTTCAAATAAACCCCAGCGCTGTCATGGCCACCAGGAAGGAGAATAATGGCGATATTAGCTGACCTTCATTTTGTTGTTTCTTCAGTCCTGACTGCTGGACCTCTGTTTGCTTGTTACTAGGATTTCTTAGCTGAAAAATTTTAGCATTTCCCAGGCAATACAAGAGCCAGTTTATTAGGTAAATAAACCAGGCCTTAAGCAGTCTTTTCTGCTCCATAATGGGAAATGGGCAAATTGGAACGAGGGTTGAGTTGGAGTCAGGGAGAATGACTCAGAGGCAGAGATCTCATCATTTCCCCCTCATCCAAAACACCAATGAACAATGCGGACGGAGTTAACAAATCATCAGATCGACGTGCTGCCTTTGGTTAACTTAACCAACATCATCCACCAAGTAAGGAAGACAAGATTCACAAAAGGAAGGGACAAAAATAGCGGCTTTCTTCTTCTAGAGACCTAGATCTGTAATGACATTTCACTTCTCCCAAGGTTCCAAGGAACTGGAGACTATTTTATAATTCATCCAAATGGAGCTAATGGTGCTATGTTTCAGTCATCTGTCATAAATGCTTAAACATTCTTATGTTATTCAAACCATTGTCTAGTGACAATCTTAACGATGTTAATAAAATCAGTAATGCAGAACTGGATCCTTTTTCAGAGTCTCTACATCCAGAGGGCCTTCTGGCTGTCTAGACTGTAACACAATTGGTAATTATTACATTTATGTGTGCCTGCTTACTGTTTACTATCTCGATTCCCTCCCCCAACTGCAATATAAGCTCCCTGAGGGCAGGGACCACCATTGTATCCTACCTCACCCAACACAGTGCCTAGCACCCAAGACGTATTTGCCTAGGGAGGTAATGATATTTTTGGCTACCTTTGGGGAAATGCATCCCATCTTTAAAAGCTTTCAGCTGCCACGCCCAAGGGCTTCAAGATGAGAACGAGACACAATACTTCTTAAAGCAGAGTATTCCCCTACCGAGAATGAAGATATGCGTCCAAGTTTCCTGTCGCTTCCAGCTTTCAATTCTTTTTTAACTGTGCTTTCTTTTGGGATTAAAAAATAATAATCTCAATTTTTAGATTCAGGAGGTACATATACAGATTTGTCACATGGGTATATTGTGTGACACTGAGGTTTAAGGTACGAATGATCCCCTCAGCGAGGTAGTGAGCACAGTATCCAATAGGTGGTTTTTCAGCCTTTGCTCCCCTCCCTCTCTCCCCCACAATAGTCCCCAATGTCTTTTGTTCCCATCTTTATGTCCATGTGTATTCAATGTGTATCTCCCACTTATAAGTGAGAACACATGGTATTTGGTTTTCTGTTCCTCTAGCTTTCAAATTAAAATAACTTATTTTATTTTTTTTGAAACAGAGTCTTGCTCTGTCACCCAGGCTGGAGTGCAGTGGCATGATCTCGGCTCACTGCAAGCTCCGCCTCCCGGGTTCACGCCATTCTCCTGCCTCAGCCTCCCGAGTAGCTGGGACTATAGGCGCCCGCCACCACGCCCAGCTAATATTTTGTATTTTTTTAGTAGAGATGGGGTTTCACTGTGTTAGCCAGGATGGTCTGGATCTCCTGACCTTGTGATCCGCCCGCCTTGGCCTCCCAAAGTGCTCGGATTACAGGCGTGAGCCACGGCGCCTGGCCTAAAATAACTTATAATAAACACTTGCTTCAAGCAGGAGGTCATGTAAATAGATATAACACACACATGTTTTTTAAAAGTTACACAGTCATTTTGTTGGAAAACATGGAAGACATAGAAATTTTTCAGACTGCCTAACTGCTCAATGGGTTCACCTTACCCAATTTGTAACTGCCCAGTGGGTTCACCTTACCTGCTGCCTAGACAGAGCCGATTTCTCTAGACAGGGGAATGGCAATAGAGAAACAGTAATTATCACAGAACCGGCTGAGCAGGAGACTGGAGTTTTATTATTACTCAAGCCAGTCTCCCTGAACATTTGGGGATCAAGGTTTTAAAAAACAATTTGGTGGGAGGGGAGGGGCAGTGAGCTGGGGAGTGCTGATTGGTTGGGTCGAAGGTGAAATCATGGGTCGTCCCTGTCTTCTTGCACTGAGTCAGTTCCTGGGTGCGGGGGGGTGTGGGGGTGGGGGGCAGTCACAAGATCAGATGGGCTGGTTTCTCAATCTGGGTGGTGCCGGTTGATCCATCAAGGGTAGAGTCTGGAAACCATCTCAAGTCCTGACTGTAGGAGCAGTTTAGGGAGGGCCAGAATCTTGTAGTCTCCAGCTACATGACTCCTAAAGCATAACTTATAATCTTGTGGTTAATGTTAGTAGTCTAGTCCCCAGGCAAGAAGGAAATTTTTTCTGGAAAAGAGCTACTATCATCTTTGTTTTAAACTTTTAAAACTATAAACTAAGTTTCTCCCAACGTTAGTTCAGCCTAAACCCAGGAATGAACAAGGACAGCTTGGAGGTTAGAGGCAAGATGGAGTCGTTTAAATTGGACCTCTTTCACTGTCTCAGTCATAATTTTGCAAAGGCGGTTTCGGCTTGGGAAGTGAGAAAAGTAAGTCTCGAAGTATGCAGGATATGATCCCAAAATGGTTGAAAGGAATAAAAAAGACAATACATGTTTGCTTAGTTTTGTTGCTGCTATAACAGAATATCACAGACTAGGCATCTATCAATGGAAGAATTTATTTGGCTCATGGTTCTGAAGGCTGGGAAGTACAAGAACATGGCACTCTGATGAGGGTCAAACCAGGTGGAAGGGTGGAAGGCATAAATGAGCACATAAGACAGACAGGAAAAGGGGGCTGAATTCCCTTGATAAGTGTTAAATACAGTGAGTTCTAAATTTCCCGTCAAAGAATCAGTATGTCAGTATGTTCAGTTCTTTGTTCTCCATTTTAAAGTTTAACTTTCTCATTCTCCTTGCCCCTAGTTTCAGTAAACAACCTTTTCCACCATTTCTAATCAGTAGTTCACATCTATTTCCTGGTCACCGCTTCGATCTGAGTCACCCCTGGTCACCTGCTCTGACCTGAGTCACCTGTTCCTAACTGTTCTTCCCATCAAACTATTCACCCCACCACTCTGACTCATACCCCTGCTCTCTTTAAAATAGCCAATCGGAATTAGCTTAGACTGTGTGATCCAACCCTAGCCAATAGGGGAACAACACAGCAGCAGGGGTTACCTGCGTCAGGAATAAAAACCCCTTCCCCTCTCTTGTTCAGCTGTGCTCTCACCATTGCTCCATCTGCAAGTCACACTCTTCTACAGAAGTAAAATTGCCTTGCTGAGAAAATTAAATTTATGTTTGAGTGCTATTTCTTTTGCGGCACTGAAAATTTATTTCTAACATAAGTAACCCACTTGGTGATAACAGCACTAATCCACTGATGAGGGCACGGCCCTCATGATCTAATCACCTCTTAAAGGTCTCACCTCTTAAGACCATCATAATGGCAATCAAATGTCAATGTGAGTTTTGGCAGAGACATTCAAACCACAGCACATGTAGACACGCTATATGCATTCATAGAAAAAAAACTGGAAAGATACACCCAAACTGTTAGTAGTCATGATTTGTAGGAAGTGAATTTTTATTTTGTTTATTGTTCTTTATGGTACCATTTTTCTACAGTAAATTGATTATTTTTTAAAATCAGAAATAACCTTCAATAAGTTTTTTTAAAAAAGATAATATATGAGCTAGATCTTTACCTCAAGAATTTCGAAAAATAAATTATAGTTACACTAATACAACCATGGCATTCAAGGTGGGCTCTCTCTCTCTCACACACACACACACGTAGACACACACACACACACTCACACTCACGTAAATATACTCACATGAACATAAATACCTAAAGCTATACATAAAGCTCTATAGGAACATTTCTGGGGGGTTATATGGCTATGTGTTTATTGATTTCTTGAGACAAAACTGCTCTGGGCATCTCAGGGAAGTTTTCTCTTTCTTAGCTTGAAGCAACCAGGTATCACATTTCTGGGTTTTAAAAGAGATTATATTCAAGGATGCTCTATTACTTTGAATAGGCGAAACATTCCAGGCTGATGGGAATTCATACCTGTCAACAGCTGTGAATTAGCATTTCAAACCCCTTCTAATGTGACTTATGAACTTTATCGGTATGAGGATTCAACACCTTGTAGAAAAGCAAGTGCTGAATGCAAACCAGGGTGAAAATGCTTTCTGCTAGGGAGTAGAAGCCTAAAGGAATGATCAAGATCCATCTGCCAAGAACAACTTCACAGGTGGATAGGTGCAAAACGACCATGCCAGGAATGAGGAAAATAGACAATACTTTAGATTTCTTTCCTTTCTTTCCTTTCCTTCCTTTCTTTCTCCCCTTCCCCTTCCTCCCTTCCTTCCCCTTCCTTCCTTCCCCTTCCTTCCTTCTTTCTTTCTTGAGATGGAGTCTCACTCTGTGTCCCAGGCTGGAGTGCAGTGGCACGATCTCAGCTCACTGCAACCTCCGCTTCCCAGGTTAAAGCAATTCTCCTGCCTCAGCCTCCCGAGTTGCTGGGACTGCAGGCGCCCGCCAACACGTCCAGCTAATTTTTGTGTTTTTAGTAGAGATGGAGTTTCACCATATTGGCCAGGCTGGTGTCGAACTCCTGATCTTGTGATCCACCCACCTCGGCCTCCCAAAGTGCTGGGATAACAGGTGTAAGCCACCGTGCCCAGCCTACTTTCAATTTCTAACTGGGTATTTAGAGGGGTAGTAAATATAGCTAGAAAAAAAAAGCTTCAGGGTGAAATGGTATGTTTGATATTTACTCACCAAGGTCTTCCCCTTTTATTATCACTTTTTGTTAGTTTCCATTCTTATTCCTACAAGGCCACAGCCAGAAGTGGGTGCAGGAGAAATGAAGTTCTGAACATTTGAATGAATGCCTATTTCAATTCCAATCATTCCCTGGAAAATGTTAAGTTTAAAGTAAAATGGAATGAGGTAGTCCTAACAGCTCAGGAAACAATAAAAGGGAACTGAGAGCTTTACACGTCAGAAAAACTCTCAGACAATGCCTAAGAGGATTGGAAAGAAATTTCTAAAACATGTCGTCCCTACAAACACACATGAAAAACTATCTTGAGAATTCCACAGGAAAATATACATCCATTTAAAAAAGAAACTTTGAAGCACAAAAATTAAAGAGAAAAGGCTTTTTCCCAGAATACAAAACACTGCTTGAGTTGTGGAAGAAAAAGAGCTCATTAGTATTTCAAAGGAGGTTGATAACTTATTTCAATGTCCATACTGGGATAGAGGATGAGCCAAGTAGTATACTCCTCAAAATCCTAGGGACCACTTACTCTCCTCTGCCATCTCTTATTTTATTTCTTTTTTTGAGATCGAGTCTCATTCTGTTGCCCAGGCTACAGTGTAGTGGTGTAATCTCAGCTCACTGCAACCTCCACCTCCTGGGTTCAAGCGATTATCTTGCCTCAGCTGGGATTACAGGCACACGCCACCATGCCCCGCTAATTTTTGTATTTTTAGTAGAGACGGGGTTTCACCATGTTGGGCAGGCTGATCTCGAATTTCTGACCTCAGGTGATCTGCCCGCCTTGGCCTCCCAAAGTGCTGGGATTACAGGCGTAAGCCACTGTGCCCGGCCAGAACCTGCGTATTAACAAGATCCCCAGATACTGCGTCTGTGCTGTTCTGGAGGACATACCATCCCAAATCAACCCTGAAGGACTGAAAAGTTAGTGAAGGGAAATGCGGGATAGAAAAGAGGGCAGGTATTCTGGGTAGAGGCGGGAATGTGTACAAGGCCACCAAAATAAAGGAAAGCCAGGGATGCCAACTGTTCAGGGTGGCTGGATCCTAGTCCATGGAAGAGAAAAAGAAAGTGTGTATTGAGAAAGGGTGCAGTGTGGCCAACGGGGAAGGAAGTGAAGGAAGATTCGGCCTGAGACTAGATCCTGCTAGGCTACGGAAACCAGTGCTGAGGAGTTTGGACTTTATTCTGAGGGCTTTGGGGCACCTCTGAAGGATTTTTTTTTTTTTTTTTTTTTTGAGATGGAGTCTCACTCTTGTCGCCCAGGCTGGAGTGCAATGGTGTGATCTTGGCTCATTGCAACCTCCGCCTCCCGGGTTCAAATTATTCTCTTGCCTCAGCCTCCAGAGTAGCTGGGATTACAGGTGCCCGCCACCACGCCCGGCTAACTTGTGTATTTTTAGTAGAGATGGGTTTTCACCATGTTAGCCAGGCTGGTCTCAAACTCCTGACCTCAGGTGATCCGCCTACATCAGCCTCCCAAAGTGCTGGGATTACAGGCGTGAGCCACAGCGTCCAGGTATTCTGAAGGGTTTTTAAACTGAGGAGTGACTTGATCAGATCCCCTGAAGACACATGGTGCTTCAGCTCATTCCACTCCTGAGTAATTCCTTACTCATTTCAAACTACCAAGAGTCCACCCATTTTGTCTGTGCTAACTCAAGTCTCTTCCAGTCATGGTGGCTGGAACTGATCTGTTTCTCAACCCTCAACTCCTGCAGCACTGTGGATGGACCACTCACATGGTCTTTGTCATGGCCACTCCATTTCTGCAGTGAGATTTTTGTCTACTCTCTTCTACTGATACAGCATAGCTTTTCAAAGAACAGTTTCCAAGGACCACCTATTTCAGGATCATCTGAGGGTATTTAATAAAATCAATTTCCAAGGCCCAAGACCCCCTGAATCGGTATCTCTGTGTGTGGGGCCCAGATGTTTGCATTTTAAAAAACATTCCAGTCAGATGACGTGGCTTACGCCTGTAATCCCAGCACTTTGGGAGGCTGAGGCGGGTGGATCACAAGGTCAGGAGATCGAGACCATCCTGGCTAACACAGTGAAACCCTGTCTCTACTAAAAATACAAAAAATTAGCTGGTTGTGGTGGCGGGTGCCTGTAATCCCAGCTACTCCAGAGGCTGAGGCAGGAGAATGGCGTGAACCCGGGAAGCGGAGCTTGCAGTGAACAGAGATCATGCCACTGCACTCCAGCCTGGTTGACAAAGCGAGACTCCGTCTCAAAAAAAAAAAAAAAAAAAAATTCCAGGTGAAGCTCTTAAATATGAAAGCCAGAGAATCACAGTATAAGACTACAGCATCCTGAGACCCAGAGCCATCCCAGAAACCCTAGAATCAGACACCGCACCTCTGTCTACAACCTTGGCATGCGGCTGCTCAGGGAGACAAGTAAACGAAGTGTTTTAAATTCCTCTCTCTACTCATTCTTGATTACATAACTAATCAAAATGCTTCCAAAAACCAACCAACCAATCAAGAAAACTTCTAGGAACTTAATTAACTCCAGTATAAAAGGACTCCTCAGGCCGGGTGCAGTGGCTCACGCCTGTAATCCCAGCACTTTGGGAGGCCGAGGCAGGTGGATCACGAGGTCAGGAGATCGAGAACGTCCTGGCTAATACGGTGAAACCCTGTCTCTGCTAAAAATACAAAAAATTAGCCAGGCGTCATGGCAGGTGCCTGTAATCCCAGCTACTTGGGAGGCTGAGGCAGGGGAATTCCTTGAACCCAGGAGGTGGAGGTTGCAGTGAGCCGAGATCGCGCCACTGCGCCACTGTACTCCAGCCTGGGCGACAGAGTGAGACACCATCTAAAAAAAAAAGGACTCCTCATTCCTGCTGTGTACTCTGTCTATTGGCCTATGCTCAGAAAGGGCTTTTTCTTTATGAGACAGGAATGTGCCCGGCTTCTGTCATCACATATATAAGACAGACAAGACTGGAATCAAACTTTCCCACAGAATTGGCGTAAGGACCGAAAGAGACATTATGTATCTTTGAAAGCGCCATGGATACTGCTTACTCTGACTATTATTATGAATGCTTTAAGTTGGTCATTTAGGAGCTAAGAAACACTGATGAGATTCTGTCTTGTATGAGCATGATTGTGGTGTTTCTTTCTCTCTCCTGCTGGACTTTAAGCAACTTGAAGGTAGGACTCTAAGGCTGACGCAACCGCGGGATCCTCCCATAGCACAGCATTGCTGAAGGGATTCAATAAAAATGTGATGAATGGGTGAAAGATGACCATGTCACAGAAGCCCACGTGTAATAAATAGTTCATTTGGAATGTGCACCTGCGTGGGAATTCTCCAAACACCTGCCGAGGCCAGTAACTCCTGTTTTCTCAGCCTATCAAAGAGGGCAGCTGCTCCTTTCCCTCAGGTGACCTTCTCTCATTTATCAAAGCTGGAAAGGGCTGTGATTTTCCCCAACATGCAGACTCTCTGAGCAATTAATAGCCCTCTCAAACAGACTTGTCCTCTAATGTCGATCTGGGAAAATGCCATTTAAAAATTTGTTTCACTGAACATTTTCACAAAATGAAAATTAGAAGATATTAAAGGCATCTGGCTATGTTAAGTAACGGGAATTTATAGTACTTAAATTTATCTGCAAAAGGAAAACATGATAAACACTAGCATGGTTTTCTATCATTTAAATCCTAAATTCACAGGATGGAACATTCAACTCCTGATTTTCCAGAAAATCTACTCTTATGAATCCTAAAGTTATCTTGAAAGGCAGGCTTTGTATTTTTCCAGTGAATATATTGCTGTTTCTTATCAATGTTGCACTTGATTTTTTTTTTTTTTTTTTTTTTTTTGAGATGGAGTTTTGCTCTTGTTGCCCAGGCTGGAGTGCAATGGCGTAATCTGGGCTGACCGCAACCTCTGCCTCCCGGGTTCAAGCGATTCTCCTGCCTCAGCGTCCTGAGTAGCTGGGATGACAGGCATGTGCGACTATGCCTGGCTAATTTTGTATTTTTAGTAGAGACGGGGTTTCTCCATGTTGGTTAGGCTGGTCTCAAACTCCCGACCTCAGGTGATCTGCCTGCCTCGGCCTCTCAAAGTGCTGGGATTACAGGCGTGGGCCACCGCACCCAGCTGAAATGATTTTTAAATTGTAAAATTTAAATTATAAATTATAAATTATATATATAAATATATATTATATATATAAATTATAAATTGTAAAATTTAAAATTGTAAATTATAAGGGACTCTTTTCTCTAGTAGATACCACCTTTAAAGTATCATGTGGAAAGTCGAAATTAAGCAATTTCACATGGAAATGGAGGTTTTGGCTTGCCTTGAAAAATCAGAAGAGACTGCGATATTGGGCCCACATTGCTACCTGGCAACAATCACCTGGGGCTGACCTCTTGAGAGGGATGCTCTCTGGTTTTGCTTCTCTACTGCAGCCTCACTCCTTTCTATGCCCGCCTGGCCTCCACAATGAATAAAGAGAAGGAGGCATGGCTTCTCTTCCAAAGATACATATATTCATGGATCTCTAATAAACGAAAGAGTGAAAATACGTAATTGGCATAGAGGGAAAGTAGAGTAGTCGCCACAAGACATGACTTTTTTGTTTGTTTGTTTTTTGAGACAGAGTCTTGCTCTGTTGCCAGGCTAGAGTGCAATGGCGTGATCTCGGCTCACTGCAACCTCTGTCTCCTGGGTTCAAGCGATTCTCCTGCCTCAGCCTCCCGAGTAGCTGGGATTACAGGCATGTGCCACCAGGCCTGGCTAATTTTTGTATTTTTAGTAGAGACGGGGTTTCACCATGTAGGCCAGGCTGGTCTCGAACTCCTGACCTCAGGTAATCTGCCGGCTTCGGCCTCCTAAAGTGCTGGGATTACAGGCATGAGCCACCGCGCCCGGCCAAGACATGACTCAAGTGCAGCTGAAGCAAGATTTGAAGTTGAACAGCAACTGAGGGGAGCCCACTGTGTGAGCAAATGCTGAGAAGCAGAAATGGACAAGCTAGGTTTGGGGGAGAAGAAATAACTGGTTTGGCTATAGTGGGAGGTTTCCATAGGGGTAGAGGAACAAGGTGGCAGACGAGACCATGTAGAGAGACCGTGGAGAGCCTCAGATCCAGAGCCAAGGACTGTGGGCTGTGCACTCTAGGGCAGCCATCCCCAACCTTTTTGGCACCAGGGACCAGGTTCACAGAAGACAATTTTTCCACGGCCTGGAGGGGAAGGGGGAGATGGTTTTCGGGATGAAACTGTTTCATCTCAGATCATCGGGCATTAGAGTCTCATAAGAAGCACACAACCTACATCCCTCGGATGTGCAGTTCACAATAGGGTTTGCGCTCCTATATCTAATGCTGCCACTGATCTGACAGGAGGCGGAGCTCAGGTGGTAATGCTCGCTCAACCACCGCTCACCTGCTGCTGTGCGGCCCAGTTCCTAAAAGGCCACAGACCGGTACCAGTCCTGGCCCAGGGGTTGGGGACCCCTGCTCCAGAGCCAGGTTGGAGCTCTCCAAGGTTTACACTAACAAGGGCCTGGCAAGATAAGAGTAGTGTTTCAGGATGATCCAGTGGGGGGCCCTTCAGAGAATGGTGACAGAGAAAATGCAAAGGGAGAGCCCTAAGCGTGCAAGACATGCTATGGCCTGAGGGGCAGTAGGCACTGGAGGAGGAGAAAGAGCTCCACATAGGAAAGGAATTGTCCAGCCAGAGCTACGGGAAGAACAGTGGTGCCAAACACAAATACCGGTGTGGGCTGGCTTCTTGTCTGGGTTTCAAGTGTGTGTGGCGCGTGTGTTTATGATAGTGGGGTGAGGGGTTGCAAATGATGAATTTGGTTTAAACTTTTTGAGTGCCAGGAAATGACAGGGAGATCAAGAGACAGATGTGCAGATAAAAGTGCAAATGGCCGGGCGCGGTGGCTCACGCCTGTAATCCCAGCACTTTGGGACACTGAGGTGGGCAGAGCATGAGGTCAGGAGTTCAAGACTAGCCTGACCAATATGGTGAAACCCCGTCTGTACTAAAAATACAAAAATTAGCCAGGTGTGGTGGTACGTGCCTGTAGTCCCAGCTACTTGGGAGGCTGAGGCAGGAGAATCGCCTGAACCCGGGAGGCGGAGGTTGCAGTGAGCCAAGATTGTGCCATTGCACTCCAGCCTGGTGACAAGAGTGAAACTGTCTCAAAAAAAAAAAAAAAAAAAAAAAAAGCTGCAAATGTGAGGATGCACTGAGTGGTAAGGACAGCTGGAGCCAGGAGATGGAGAAGGTTTCTAAGAAAAACATGCCCCAAGAGGATCTGGACCACAAAACCCAGAAATGCTTCTGCTCCAGTTCAAGAAGCAGTGGAGATGTGATTCTTCGATACGTAGCCTTAGAAACCAAACCACACTGTTGCCCCGGGTACTCTCAACCACTCCAAGTTTTTATAGAGCCTTTGGAATGATGGATGGGGCTCAGTTTACCCAGAGACAGTAAAATCAGATGAAAGGGGTTAATTAGAACTGTTCTCTCTACTGCTAGGTGCAAAACAGCCACATTGGAGCCATGATGAAGCTACGTCTATTTAAACAGCCAAACTGATCATTGTAACTGTTTTCTCTCTTAAAATAAACCCCATGCTTTTAGCCATATTCCTGCTTCTTAAAGCCTCTCATGTGAAAGATGCCAAAATAATCCTGGACCTTAAAGAGGTCTTGATTTATCATTTCACAGCTGGTTCCCATGCACCTCCCTTTCCACTTTTTCAGAGCCTCACTATATAAATCCTGCCATCAGATCAGGGAGGCAGGCATGGTGGTGATGGATGTCAAACCTGCGATGGGGAAAGTGAAGAGCAGTTCCCTACTGGGAACAGATAAGCCAGCAGACTTCTCACAGACTGCTCCTGTTACCAACTCAGCCAACCCCACCCCCTCCTCCTGCTCCCTTGGCCCTCCCCATCTGCCGGATAGGGCCTCCCTTCTGCTGCGAAGCTTCCACTCCTGTAGTGTTCTGGTTTGCGTTCTTTGATGAGAAATATTAATTCCAGGTTAATACTGATGTTAAAAAATAAAAGCCCGACCTAATTAAAAATTCAAGTTAATTTTCACCCAGGTTCCCTTAACTTTTAAAAAATGTTCTTTTTGTAAAAAAGAGTAAATAGGTTACATGAGGAGGCCCAAGTACCAGGAATTGATTAGTGGCACAATGAAAAAAGTTACAAAATATAACAACAACCACTTAAAGCAAAGTTAATCTAGTTTGCTCAACAGCCCAGGACTTTTGCTGCCTAAGTACAGGATGCTTCCTTGCATATACTTGCAAATTTCACCTTTTAGGCTAAGGAGATGTTTTTCAATTGATTTGGGAAGGAGGAAGGGGTCAAGACCACGGAGGCTCCAGGTAAAATGCTGTAGGTGGGCAGTCTGCCTCTGATACTAAACTTTTTTTTTTTTTTTTTTTTGAGATAGAGTCTCGCTCTGTTGCCCAGGCTGTCATGCAATGTCGTGATCTTGTCTCACTGCAACCTCTGCTTCCTGGGTTCAAGCAATTCGCCTGCCTCAGCCTCCCGAGTAGTTGGGATTACAGGCGTCCGCCACCACACCCAGCTAATTTTTGTATTTTTAGTAGAGACGGGGTTTCGCCATGTTGGTCAGGCTGGTCTCAAACTCCTGACCTCAGGTGATCTGCTCACCTCAGCCTCCCAAAGTGCTGGGATTACAGGCATGAGCCACCAAACCTCTTCCTTTCTTTGCTCTCTTCCCATCACCCAGCCCTCCTCTGTTCAGTGCCCAGGCACACTGAGACCCCACACTGCTGTCTCTGGCCTGCAAAGATGCACAATGCCACCTCATGTAGGCCTGCTTGCCTGCCCCACCCACACCCCCAACTCAGGTCATAACATCACTTTCCCATCAAAGCTCCAGTTTCCCTACTATGGATGATTTCCTGGTGATATTTTTAAAATCAAACTAAGCGACTCTAAAAGGTGAATAACAAACTCATTGACTTCCCACTGTCTCACACACAACACACCCAGCCTTTGCATCTGGTTTAGTGACTTGTTAGCTTACATCCTTGGTCATAACTTGGCAGCCAGGGAGCCAAGTCTGATTTGCAGTTGTGTTTTAACCTGGTCAGTGTTTTAAAAATCGGCAAAGTTTACACAAAATCATCGCTCTCTCTCTTTCTCTCTCAGGAGACAGGTGATATGGCATCCTGGGGCCACAGTTCCACAGGGTAGCAGACGAGGGGCTGAAGAGCAAGTTCTCTGTGGGCTCTAGTTCACAGGGACACCTGCCACTCCTGACTGTCATATACACACAGCTCTCATTTTCTTTCTTTTTTTTTTTTAGATGGAGTTTTGCTCTTGTCACCCAGGCTGGAGTGCCACGGTGCAATCTCAGCTCACTGAAACCTCTGCTCCAGGTTTCAAGTGATTCTTCTGCCTCAGCCTTCTCAGTAGCTGGGATTACAAGCATGCGCCACCACACCCGGCTAATTTTTGTATTTTTATTAGAGACAGGGTTTCACCACAATGGCCAGGCTGGTCTCAAACTCCTGACCCCAGGTGATCCGCCTGCCTCGGCCTCCCAAAGTGCTGGGATTACAGGTGTGAGCCACCATGCCTGGCCACATATCTCATTTTCTTTACCTGGTTGCCATTTGAATTTGTGACTTCTGGCTTAAATGACTCTCTAAATGAGAGCACAATTAAATAATTTCACAGAAGTAGGGACAAAGATATATTTTTAAAATTTTTTATTTTTAGATGACAAAGAATATATATTTATGGGGTACAAAGTAATGTTTTAGTATCTACACACATTGTGGAATGATTATATCAAGTTAGTTAACATATCCCTTATCTCACATACTTTTTTTTTTTTTTTGTAGTGACAACATTTAAAATTTGTTCTTTCAGCTACTTTGAAATACAGTTGAGTATCCCTTATCCAAAATGCTTGAGACCAGAAATGTTTCGAACTTTGGATATTGGAATATTTGCATTATACCTCCGGGTTATGCATTCCTTTTTTTTTTTTTTTTTTTTGAGATGGAGTTTCACTCTTGTTGCCCAGACTGGAGTGCAGTGGCACGGTCTCAGCTCACTGCTACCTCCGCGTCCTGGGTTCAAGTGATTCTCCTGCCTCAGCCTCCTGAGTAGCTGGAATTACAGGCACACGCCACCACACCCGGCTCATTTTTGTATTTTTAGTACAGATGGGGTTTCACCATGTTGGCCAGGCTGGTCTCAGACCCCTGACCTCAAGTGATCTACCTGCCTCAGCCTCCCAAAGTGCTGGGATTACAGGCGTGAGCCACCACGCCCGGCCGGCCCCTGACTATTAAGACCAGGAAGAGTAATCATGGTACAGGAAAGCAGATCCTATACAGTAACACAGAGGGCATTTTCAACAGGAGATATCTGTTGCTTTGCCTTTCAGTATCACTCTTGGCTCCTTTTCCTCCTCTCTCAACTTTTATATTTCCTCTCTTTCATCTCTCTGTCTATCCCTCCCCATTTCTCTTTCCTTGACTAAACCAAATATTACCACGGGAGCACACATCTTACAGCACTCTGCCTGTCCATCCCACTTAACCTCAATCCTCAGCACTCTGGTGTGTCATGGAAAATTAAGAATGTTTGAGAAGTACCACGGAAAGAAAAAGTTTAGCAAGCAATGACCACAAACCACTAACCCTGGTCACATCTGGTCACTGTTCTTGACAAAACTCAAAAACTTTATCCAACACTCAATGGGGGGCCCCCTCTAGCTTATGCATGCAGGTCTGAGGGTTGATTTCACATGCATCCAAATAAAGTATTTTAGGAAAAAGAAAACAAACTCACAAGCCAGGAGGCCAGGAAGCAAAGAGACTCCCTAGAGCTTCTAACTTGCTGACTGGCCACAGTGACACCATAGGGGTGGCTACACTGAATCTGGTCTGATGTTCTTACCAGTTTTATGGCTGTACCAGTTTTATGACAGTGACATGAAGAGATATACTCAAAGAAATGCCTCTCCTTGCTGGGCACGGTGGCTCCCACCTGTAATCCCAGCACTCTGGGAGGCCGAGGTGGGCAGATCACCTGAGGTTGGGAGTTCGAGACCAACCTGATCAACATGGAGAAACCCCGTCTCTACTAAAAATATACAACTAGCTGGGCGTGGTAGTGGGTGCCTCTAATCCCAGTTACTCGGGAGGCTGAGGCAGGAGAATCGCTTAAACCCAGGAGGCAGAGGTTGCAGTGAGCTGAGATCACACCATTGTGCTCCACAGCCTGGGCAACAAGAGAGAAACTCCATCTCAAAAAAATAAAAAAATAAAAAAAAAAAAAGAAATGCCTCTCCTTTTCAGCACCTTCAGAAGTTAGATGTATCCCCAACATCTCCTAGTTCACTTTAATAACCCATTGCCACTCTACATAAAACTGTTTTGAATCTTTTACACCAGGAAGCCCTCAGCCTTCCCAAATTGCCTGGGCTGCTCAATACCATAAAGCTCCTAGAGAAATGACTCTTTATGAAAAGTAGTACTTGTTTCTAATGGAGCAGCTATATATGGAAGCTTTTTTCCTTTTTAAAAATAAATTGTAAAATACATAACAAAAATGACCATTTTAACAAAAGTATAAATTCATTGGCAAAATACACTCCCAATGTTGTGCAACTATCACTACTACTTATTCCAGAACTTTCTTTTTCTTTTTTTTGAGACAGGGTCTCACTCTGTTCCCCAGACTGGAGTGCAGTGGCACGACGTCAGCTCATTGCAAAACTCTGCCTCCCAGGTTCAAGCGATTCTCCTGCCTCAGCCTCCCAAGTAGCTGGGATTACAGGCACCTGCCACCATGCCCAGCTAATTTTTGTATTTTTAGTAGAAACTGGGTTTCACTATGTTGGCCAGGCTGATTCTAGAACTTTTCATCAGCCCAAAAGGAAACCTCATACCCATTAAGCAGTCTCTCTCCATTTCTCCCAACTCCCCAGTCCCTGGCAATCACTGATCAGCTTTCTGTCTCTATAGATTTGCCTACTCTGGACATTTATATAAATTAAATCATATAATATATAGCTTTTTGTTTCTGGCTTCTTTCACTTGGCATAATGTTTCAAGGTTCATTTATATTTTAGCATGGATTACTACTTCATTCCTTTTTTGTGGTTGAGTAATATTCCATTGTATGGTGTGTGTGAAGGCTTTTGTGAAATAAATAATGGTGGTTGGATAGTATGTAACTGCAAGCTACTAAACTGAAGGAATTTATCCTGTGTGACAGGTGGTATTTCTTTTACATATGAACATTGTAGAATATGGGAACCTGCTGGGCGCGGTGGCTCACACCTGTAATCCCAGCACTTTGGGAAGCCGAGGTGGGCAGATCACAAGGTCAGGAGATCGAGACCATCCTGACGTTGAAACCCCATCTCTACTAAAAATACAAAAAATTAGCCAGGCGTGGTGCGGACGCCTGTAATCCCAGCTACTCAGAAGGCTGAGGCAGGAGAATGGCATGAATCTGGGAGGCAGAACTTGCAATGAGCCGAGATTGCGCCACTGCACTCCAGCCTGGGCAACAGAGCAAGACTCTGTCTCAAAAAAAAAAAAAAAAAAAAGAATATGGGAACCAATGTATAGCCTATCCAAACCATTCATAATCTAATAAACTTTCTATCCCTATTCAAATTTCATCTTTCCAGACTGAGAAGTCCTTTAAAAAAATTTGAAGGCTCAGAAAATCCTCATCCACATTATTTCAGTTGCCTTTCAATGAATCCAATTCAAAGGCAGTCATTTGTGCTAGTTGCTGGGAATCAGAATTGCAAGACACAGTCCCTGCACTCAGGAAGCTCAAGGTCTAGTGAGAAGATAAACATCCGAACAATTTCACCACACTGTGATAACTTTCAGGATGTAAATCTAAACTGTAAGGACTCAAGTTCACGAAGTTTTCCAGCTGAGGGAGCTTATGCAAGCTTAATATGTGGGTCAGAAATGCTTTGGTTTGGCTTCCTACCTTCCTGATGGCCAAGGTCTTCAGAGAAAAGCTTATACATTAATCGTCCCTTATGCATGGAGGACGCGTTCCAAGACCCCCAAGGGATGCCTGAAACCAGGGACAGGACTGACTCTACAAATACTATCTTTTTTCCTATACATACATACCTACGATAAAGTTAACTTTTTGAGATGGAGTTTTGCTCTTGTTGCCCAGGCTGGAGTGTAATGGCACAATCTCGGCTCACTGCAACCTCTGCCTTCCGGGTTCAAGTGATTCTCCTGCCTCAGCCTCCCGAGTAGCTGGGATTATAGGCGTCCACTTCCATACCCAGCTAATTTTTATATTTTTAGTAGGGACAGCATTTCACCATGTTGGCCAGGCCGGTCTCAAACTCCTGACCTTGGGTGATCTGCCTACCTCGGCCTGCTAAAGTGCTTAGATTACAGACATAAGGTAAGCCACTGCACCCGGCCGATAAATTTATTTTCTTTTCTTTTTTTTTTTTTTTTTTTTTGAAACAGAGTTTTGCTCTTGTTGTCCAGGCTAGAGTGCAGTGGCGCAATCTCGCCTCACTGTAACCTCCGCCTCCTGGGTTCAAGTGATTCTCCTGCCTCAGTCTCCTGAGTAGCTGGAATTAGAAGTGCCCACCACTACGCCTGGCTAATTTTTTGTATTTTTAGTAGAGATGGAGTTTTACCATGTTGGCCAGGCTGGTCTCGAACTCCTCACTTAAGGCGATCCACCCGCCTTGGCCTCCCAAAGTGCTGGGATTACAGGCATTAGCCACCACGCCGGGCTGATAAAGTTAATTTCTAAGTTAGGCACAGTAAGAGATTAACAACCATAACTAATAATAAAATAGAACAATTATAACAATATACCGTAATAAAAGTTATGTGAATGTGGTCTCTCTCTCTCTCTCTCTCTCAACAGATCTGACTGTACTGTACTCCTCCTCCTTCTTGTGATAATGTGAGAGGATGAAATAAATGCCTACGGGATGAGAGGAAGTGATCCTCCTGCCTCAGCCTCCCTGGTAGCTGGAACTACTGGCATGCACCACCACACCGGGCTAGTTTTTAAATTTTTCTTTTGTAGAGATGGGGTCTGACTATGTTGACCAGACTGGCCCTCAAACTCCTGGCCTGAAGCAATCCTCACACTTTGGCTTCCCAAAGTGCGGGGATTACAGGCGTGATTGTCCCAAATGTCAGCAGTGTGACACTGCGTTAGGCTACTATTGACCTCCTGGCAATATGTCAGAAGCAAGATCATCTGGTTCGAGTAATCCTGAATCACTGAGCCCTGATGATGGCCATAGCTGGATGTGAGGAGCAGATCATGGTAATGACTAATGAATGGGCCGCGTATACAGCGTGGATACGCTGGACAAGGGGATGATTCATATCCAGGGTGGGATGGGGTGGGATGGCGTGAGATTTCATCACACTTCTCAGAACAGCATGCAATTTAAAACTTATGAATTGTTTACTTCTGGAATTTTCCATTTAATATTTTAGGATTGACTGTGGTTGACCACAGGTAACTGAAACTGTGGAAAGCAAGACCAAGGGGGAACTACTGTAATGAGAGCAGTTGGTGTTGCTTTCCTGAGTAGCTGGGCTCTTCTGATTGACCCTAGAAGTTAGCATCTATCATATTTGCCTAATGCGACATCTTGCTCACACTAAAGTGTTTTTTTTTTTGTTTTTGTTTTTGTTTTCTTTTTTTGAGACGGAGTCTCTGTTGCCCAGGCTGGAGTGCAGTGGCACGATCTCGGCTCACTGCAACCTCTGCCTCCCAGGTTCAAGTGATTCTCCTGCCTCATCCTCCTGAGTACCTGGGATTACAGGTGCCCGCCACCACACCTGGCTAATTTTTGTATTTTTAGTAGAGACAGGGCTTCACCATGTTGGCCAGGCTGGTCTCGAATGCCTGACCTCGGGTGATCCACCCGCCTTGGCCTCCCAAAGTGCTGGGATTACAGGCGTGAGCCACCACACCCAGCCTAAAATGTTTTTATCTTTTAAAATCTTCCTATCTTTCAGGATGAGATATAAAAGTGCTGATTAGTAGCAGACCTAGAAAGAAATTTCATCAGGCATTCCTTCACTCCTTAGACATATTAAAAATATTAACATGGGAACTAAGGCACTAACCCATGGGCAGCTTCATCGTCTATACTTTCCATCTTTCTCTCCAACTGTTTATGTTGAAAGATTTCAACCTGACAGAAAAGCCGAAAAGATAGTATAATGAACATCTATATAGGCCAATGTTAAATGGTGAATAATGAATGTTTTTAATGTGGTTATATGTAATAATGTCATAATAATGTAGTGATTTCCTTGTCTTTTTTTTTTTTTTTTTTTTTTTGAGACGGAGTCTCACACTGTCACCCAGGCTGGATTGCAATCTCTGCCTCCCAGGTTCAGGTGTTTCTCCTGCCTCAGCCTCCCAAGTAGCTGGGATTACAGGCGCGCACCACCACACCTGGCTAATTTTTTGTATTTTTAGTAGAGACAGGGTTTCACTATGTTGGCCTGACTGGTCTCCAACTCCTGACCTCGTGATCTGCCCGCCTCGGCCTCCCAAAGTGCTGGGATTACAGGTGTGAGCCACGGCGCCCGGCCTATTCATTTCTAAAAACTTAAACATGCATCTCCTAAGAACAAGAATATTCTCCAACAGAATCATATCATTGTTAATCTGAAGAATTTTAACACTGATACAACATTATCTAATGCACAGTCCATATTCAAATGTCCCTCATTTACTCAATAATGTCCTTCTAGCTGGGTATGTTTTTAAAATCTGGAATCCGATCAAAATCAGAAACTGTATTTAGTTGTCATATTTCTTTAGTTTCCTTTAATCTACAATTCTTCTATCCTTTTTCTATCCTTCATGACCCTGATATTTTCCTTGTCTCACAGAACACCCATCAATCTGAACTACTCTTATAGTGTCTGTTGATGTCATTCAAGTTAACATTTTTGGCATAAATACAGTAGGTGATGTTGTGTTAATTATACCGCATCAAATTTGGAGCAGTGTACTGTGTCCTGTAATCCTAGCGCTTTGGGAGGCCGACTTGGGAGGATCACTTGAGCTCAGGATTTCAAGACCAGCCTGGGCAACATGGTGAGACCCCCATCTCTACAAAAAATACAAAAAATTAGCTGGGTACGGTGGTGTGCGCCTATAGTCCCAGCTACTTGGGAGGCTGAGGCAGGAGGATTGTTTGAGCCTGGAAGATGGAGGGCTTCGGTGAGCTACGATTGTGCCACTGCACTCCAGCCTGGGTGACAGAGCAAGATCCTGCCTAAAAAAAAAAAAAAAGAAAAACAACAAAAAAAAACTTGGGGCTTCATAATCCAGGTTGTCATACTCCTGGTGATGCTAAGTTTGATCACTTTTTTCAAGTGTCTTTCCTCCTTAATAATTAATAAATAATCTGTGTGGTGATACTTTCAGACTGTGGTTATCCTGCTTCCCATATCTTTTCACCCAATAGTTTTGGCATTGATGGTCAATCCTGAAACAATTACTGGTGGTTGCAAAAGCTGTTTTTCTAATTTTATCTTTTTTTTTTAATATATCTTAGCTGGGAGAAAGAGCCTCTCCCCATCCTTACTCCCACTTTTTTTTTTTTTTTTTTTGAGACGGAGTCTTGCTCTGTGGCCCAGGCGGGAGTGCAGTGGCGCAATCTCGGCTCACTGCAAGCTCCGCCTCCCGGGTTCACGCCATTCTCCTGCCTCAGCCTCCCGGGTTCACGCCATTCTCCTGCCTCAGCCTCCCGAGTAGCTGGGACTACAGGCGCCCGCCATCACGCCCGGCTAATTTTTTTGTATTTTTTTAGTAGAGACGGGGTTTCACCGTGTTAGCCAGGATGGTCTCGATCTCCTGACCTCGTGATCCACCCGCCTCGGCCTCCCCCTTACTCCCACTTTTTTTTAAGTATCACTGTGGATACGCAAACTCATGGACTCATGGATGCATTTTTCAAGTTCAGTATCTATAATCCATTAACATTGTTATTCTTTTTATTGCTCCAATTGCCTCCATTTTTTTTTTCAGACTCTTTTTTCAGGGTCTTACTCTGTTGCCCAGGCAACAGTGCAGTGGTGTGATCAAAGCTCACTGCAGCCTTTAACTCCTGGGCTCAAGTGATCCTCCTGCCTCAGCCTCCCTGGTAGCTGGGACTACTGGCATGCACCACCACACCAGGCTAGTTTTTAAATTTTTCTTTGGTAGAGACGGGGTCTGACTATGTTGACCGTCAGACTGGCCTTAAACTCCTGGCCTGAAGCAATCCTCACACTTTGGCTTCCCAAAGTGCTGGGATTACAGGCATGACTGCCCCAAATGTGACCTGTGGGAGTCCCTATAAGTCAGCTCCTGTGTTCTTTTACATAGCCCCATCATTGTTTGTGCGCTTCCTTGATCTCAGACCCAAGATGTTCTAGGCTTGCCTTTTATCTTCCTGTCCCAGATTTAGACTCAGTTGCTCCTGCAAAGAGTCTTAGTTTCTTTTGGGAGTGAATAGTATTTAGAAACCAAGAACTGGGTGTAAACTGTGCTCATTACTACAGGAGTATCACTGCTTCTACATGCTTTCAGTGGTTAAAGTGGGCAATGTATTTATTTACTTAAAGTAGCAGCCCACCATGATACTTCCAATTCAAACCAAACACCATAAAGATCATTATTACTTTTCTCATTCACATTCACTATTTATCTCCCTAGTTCCCAATAACATCAATATATTTACTCACTTACTCTCCCCAACTAATACACAAAGCAGATCCAGAATTACTCTAATATCACTCTAAACAATAAATCTACTTAGTAGAATTCAAGATTTCTGCAATTCAATGTCCTTAAAAATATCCAACTAAGGGTGCGTAAAGTATATTTAAGTCACTTACATTCTTCTTTACTGAATACATTCTCTGTATTTTAAATTAACAGATTTTTCTTTCCTATTTGTAAGTTTATTTCTCAAGATATAACAGAACCTACAAATGTAAAGAGCTTCAAAATTTTAACAACTATTTTATCAAAATGATTAATGTATAAGCTAAAAAGTCAAGTAATCCTAAAAAAAGGTTATAATAAAAACCAGTGATTTCTACCTGCTCCTTCTGACTTTCCTCCTCATCAAAAGCACTCACTTTTCACTTATTTTGGCTGTTTCTTCTGTTACTTATCTCCACACTTTTAAACTATATGCCCATACCATAATCTTTAAATTCCATCAATTTTAAATATTACACAGTCACCTTCTCTTTCATTATAGGAGTATTTAGCTCTCTTGTACTCCACCTCTTCAATCTCCCATCTACCCTATAGTTGAATCATATATTTTGATTAAATCAAACATCTAACAATTACGTTATCATGGCTATGTTTGTATTTACTCTTAACATACTATAATCATGCTTCCATTTCTGTATTACTTTTTGTTTTCCTGGAATTAATAATTGTCTCACTTTTTTTTTTTTTTTTTTTTTGAGATGG
Source organism: Homo sapiens (assembly GCF_000001405.40). Classification (NCBI taxonomy): domain Eukaryota; kingdom Metazoa; phylum Chordata; class Mammalia; order Primates; family Hominidae; genus Homo; species Homo sapiens. The sequence goes on from NC_000017.11 coordinate 9,354,347, forward strand.
AGTCTCACTCTGTCACCCAGGCTGGAGTGCGGTGGTGAGATCTCGGCTCACTGCAACCTTCACCTTCTGGGTTCAAGTGATTCTCCTGCCTCGGCTTCCCGAGTGGTTGGGATTACAGGCCCGTGCCAACATGCCTGGCTAATTTTTGTATTTTTAGTAGAGACGGGGTTTCACCATGTTGGTCAGGCTGGTCTTGATCTCCTAATCTCATGATCCGCCTGCCTCGGCCTCCCAAAGTGCTGGGATTACAGGCAGGAGCCACCGTGCCCGGCCCATATTTACTCTTAACATACTATAATCGTGCTTCCATTTCTGTATTACTTTTTGTTTTCCTGGGATTAATAATTGCCTCTCTTTTTCAATTGCTTGAAATCCCTCCTACTAAATCTCATAACCTTCAGCAATCACTCAGTGTAATTTTTCACGCAGGAAAACATACCATCTATTTTCCCTCTTAGCTCTAGCTCTCTATTCTAGAACAGCTGTTCTCTTGGTCTGTTGTGCAGCCTTCCACTGCTGTCATCCTGGGAGTTGTCTTTACTTCTCTCCCTTGTTTCTGTCCTCCCAGATCTTCTTTCTAGGGTTAATATTTGTCAGTAGCTTCCTGCAATACTACCACCCCTGTTTTTGCTGAGATATTGGATGCCATTCTAAGTTCAGATCCTTTGAAAGTAATCTGTTGTCCCCTACCTCCCACCCCTAGGGAGGCAGAAACTTCTCTTTAACTGGGTGCTCTGAAATTTCATTATGTTGTGATTTGACATGGGTCTTTTTTTATTTCATTTCTTAAGCTGGATATTGATAATGGACTCTTTCAATAAATATGGTTACTCCTGTCTGTCAGTTCTTGGGAAATTTCTGGCATTATTTCCTTTGGTAATTTGTTGACTGTTGTTTTCTCATTGTGGCATTCCTACTCTTTCGATCTTGGATGGATCCTCTAATTTTGATATCTTCCTGTGTCTTTTGGTTCTACTTTGTGGAACTTTTTTTTTTTTTTTTTTTTGAGACATGGTCTCACCCTGTCACCCAGGCTGGAATGCAGTGGCACAATCACAGCTCACTGCAGCCTTGACCTCCTGGGCTCAAGCAATCTCCTCTCGCCTGTCTCCTGAATAGCTGGGACTACAGGCATGCACCACCACACCTAGCAATTTTTTTTTTTTTTTTTTTTGAGACGGAGTCTCATTCTGTCGCCCAGGCTGGAGTGCAATGGCGCAATCTCGGCTCACTGCAACCTCCGCCTCCCGAGTTCAAGCGATTCTCCTGCCTCAGCCTCTCGCCTCCCGAGTAGCTGGGATTACAGGCGCGCTCCACCACTCCTGGCTAATTTTTGTATTTTTAGTAGAGATGGGATTTCACCATGTTGGTCAGGCTGGTCTCGAACTTCTGACCTCGTGATCTGCCCGCCTCAGCCTCCCAAAGTGCTGGGATTACAGGCGTGAGCCACTGCACCCGGCCACCTAGCTAATTTTTAAAAACTTTTGTAGAGACAGGGTCTCGCTATTTTGACTAGGCTGGTCTTGAACTCCTGGGGTCTAGCAATCCGCTCACTTCAGCCCTCCAAAGTGCTGGGATTACAGGCAAAAGCCACCAGGCCCAGCCCATCTCTTCAACTTTGAAACTGCCAGGAGTGACCACTGATCCTTCCCATTCATTGCTTTTTTTCACAGACCACCTCTCAGTTCCTTCTTTTACAGAGAGAAAGAAAGGAAGTAGCTGAGGGATGTAAGCCAACTTAACTAGAAGACATTAAGTTCAGTTGTTCTACATTTGTTCACATCTAAAATTACTTAATATGTAGGTGGTAGGTCCATTTGTCAAGCAGTAGAAATAGCATCGTTCCTTCCAGTAGCTCAGTGTGACAATACTGTTTCTTCTATTAAAACAATGTCTGCATTTTGGGGTTTGCAGAAATTCACTGTTTGGCATGACTTTAAGAATAGCTCTAACCAAATGGTCCATGAGAATACATAAAAACCTTTTTCAGTTCAACAGGTCCACGAAGAACCCAATAATTCTGAAAGAAACATCGAAGGCTGGAAAAACATGTCAGATGATTGTCAGGAGAATATATGTTGCACATCTCAGTGGTGCCCATGTAAGCTGCCTATATGCCAGGTATGACCTGGTGTCTGCCAGCTCCACACCTGCCCTTCTCTGCTCAGTCATGCTGGGGCTTGGAGTCTGTGAACTACCCTTCCCAGGCTCCCCTGCCAGCTGGCTTCCTGTTATGTTCTGCCAAAATAAGGCACTGTCAGGAGTTCAGAAAGCAAGAAGAGGGGTGAGGCTGTTCCTCTTCCTCTCTTTCCCCATCTGCTTCTGGCAGCATCTCTGCAAGTGTCTGTATTCTAACAGTGTTCCCCATGGCAGTGGCAGCCTCTCTTTGGCAGTCCCAGAACGAGCAAGGCAGGCCTGCTTCTGCTGCAGCCCAGGGGCCAGGTCCTAGGCATCTCTAGCACTGGCTGAGCGGCAATCCCAGGAGTACTGTGGTGTGCAGCAGCGCATTTGCATCTTTGCTCTCCTAGGCTTAAGGGTGGCAGCTGCTTCACACAAGGACTAATTTCTGGATTACTGCACCTTCCCCTTTTCATTCTCTCCATCCTTTTAACAGTTTTTTTTTTTTTTTTTTTTTTTTTTAGGCAAAGTCTTGCTCTGTCACCCCGGCTGAAGTGCAGTGGCATGATCTCAACTCACTGCAACCTCCGCCTCCCAGGTTCAAGCAATTCTCCTGCCTCAGCCTCCTGAGTAGCTGGGATTACAGGCATGTGCCACCATGCCTGGCTAATTTTTGTATTTTTAGAGACGGGGTTTCGCCATGTTGGCCAGGCTGGCGGTCTCAAACTCCTGATCTCAGGTGATCTGCCTGCCTTGGCCTCCCCAAATGTTGGGATTATAGGCGTGAGCCACTGCGCCCGGCCCTTCTAACAGTATTCTAACAAGTTGTTTGCATTCTGTCTCCTCTGAGTGAAATACCTAGTATGGTTATTCTTTTTCCTGATTGGCTCCCAACTGACGGAACCTCTCTGAGGGATTTAAAAAATAAGAAGAAAAAAAGACTGGCCAGGCACGGTGGCTCACGCCTGTAATCCCAGCACTTTGGGAGGCCAAGGCAAGGTGGATCACCTGAGCTCAGGAGTTTGAGAACAGCCTAGCCTGTGGTTTTGTAGAAAACTCCATCTCTACAAAAAATACAAAAAGTAGCTGAGTATGGTGGTGTGCACCTGTAGTCCCAGCTACTTAGGGGGCTGAAGCCAGAGGATCTCTTGTGCCCAGGAGGTTGAGGCTGCAGGGAGCTGTGATCATGTCATTTCATTCCAGCTGGACAACAGAGTGAGACTCTGTCTCAAAAAAATAAAATAAAATAAAATATAAAAAATTAAAATTTTTAAATACTCCAGAAGTCTTAATTTTCAGAAAGAGTGAAGGGCGCAATGCCTCATCTATGGTTATGATTGCAAAAGTACAAACTGATTTCAATTGTTTTATTGACAAAGTCATACATCTCTAGAAGATGACAGTTTCTCTAATGTGAAGTCCCAAATTCAAGAGGATTTCCATTAGTTTCCAGAATAAGTAGCTAAGTGCACAACAGCCCTCTCTGTAAAGTTTGACTGCTACAAAAATAAGAAAACTGGTTTGCATGCTGCTAAGATGACCGAACACAAAAACATCTTTTAATAAGGAGCTGAAACCAAGTTGGGAGAAGGCTGCTTCAGTCTTCAATTTTTAGGTGCAGTGGCTCACACCTGTAAATCCCAGCACTTCAGGAGGCCAAGGTAGATCGTTTGAAACCAGGAGTTCAAGACAAGCCTAGGTAAGAAAGCGAGACTTCATCTCTACCAAAAAAACAAACAAAAAAATTAGCTGGGCATGGTGGTGCACACCTGTAGTTTCAGCTACAGGGGACGAACTCCAGGGCTCAAGTGATCCTCCTGATAGCTTAGCACAGAGGTATGACCATGCCACTGCACTCCAGCCTGGGCAACTGAGCGAGACCCTGTCTCTAAACAGAAGGGAAAAAAAGGTCTTCAATTTTGCAAAAGGGCAGCCATGGTACACCACTCAGTTGTTCATTCACGGTCTTCAACCCACTTTAAAAGGCATAATGGAAATGACAAGAAAACAGATACAAAAGGTATTTTTAAGAGGATGCGGCAGAATGTATCATAAAGTTATTACACAGTAACAGTTTTTAAATGCACTTCTTGGGACTATTCCTGTGCTCCGTTATCTTCTAAACACACTTCCAGATGGCCCCATGTTCGGTGACACATTGAGGAGAGAAAGCGGCTGGTGAGGCCACACAAAAGAAACCGGAGGATGGCAGGGTGCTAGGAATGCTGGCTGAAGGGTGGGATGCAGCTTGGGCATGAGGCCTTTAAAAGGCATATTCTTGACCAAGATGATAAATAGAGAGGACAGTAATTAAGGGAGGAAGACTGGAACTGAGAGAAAACAGGAAAGGAGAGAGTAGGGGGAAAAGATTACAAAGAGAGAAGTGAGGATGAGTACAGGAAACTCCGGGAGCACCCAATACCCCAGGGCAGGAGATGTGATTTAAGGATGGGAACATTATGGCTGTATTTGATTGGCTTACATGTAATAGTCCCCAGCCCCTTGGGGGTCACCAGTGCTACAGGGAAACCTGGGTGGGATTATATCCAGCATCCTCTCAGTGGAACTAAGGCTTTTTTTTTTCTTTTTTTTTTTGAGATGGAGTTTTGCTCTTGTTGCCCAGGCTGGAGTGCAATGGCGCAATCTTGGCTCACTGCAACCTCCATCTCCCGGGTTCAAGAGATCCTTCTGCCTCAGCCTCCCAAATAGCTGGGATTACAGGCGCCTGCCACCACGCCTGGCTAATTTTTGTAATTTTAGTAGAGATGGGGTTTCAACATGTTGGCCAGGCTGGTATTGAACTCCTGACCTCAGGTGGAACTAAGGCTCTTGAGCCTGACTTTGGGCGTTAATACGCAGGAAAAGAGGTATTACTCTCTGTGGAAGTTATCACCTTCAAGATAAACACACTGGCCCTGGGAAGAAAGGTTGAATAGAGAGCCTGAAATCCCCAAAGAGAAATCCCTTGAAGGGCTCCTCTGAACTCCCATCACCCACAAACTTAAGAGTTTTCCTGGTATTCCACAATGCTGAGACATATTTTTTTTTTTTTTTTTTTTTTGGGACAGAGTCTTGCTCTGTCGCCCAGGCTGGAGTGCAGTGGTGCAATCTCGGCTCACTGCAAGCTCCGCCTCCCACGTTCATGCCATTCTCCCGCCTCAGCCTCCCAAATAGCTGGGACTACAAGCGCCGACCACCATGCCCGGCTAATATTTTTGTATTTTTAGTAGAGACAGGGTTTCACCGTGTTAGCCAGGATGGTCTCGATCTCCTGAGCTCGTGATCCGCCCGCCTTGGCCTCCCGAAGTGCTGGGATTACAGGTGTGAGCCACCGTGCCTGGACTGTGATAGGAGTTTTAATTTTCTCTGGTTAATGAAATTTCAGGGAAGGGATCAAAGGTGATTTTATTTCTCTTTGGTGGGTCCTGTTTCCAGGCAGATAAGGGAGCTTCAGAGAAGAGCCTCATTCTGTGCTTTGGGAGGGACAGAGGATTGAGGGACAGGAGTGGGGAGAAGGTTAAAGAGCCCCTGAGGTGTCTTTAGTTCCGCGTGTCAAAGGGCCATTTTTTGAGGTATTGTTTCCTGAGCCTGACATACGGAACAGGATGGCACAATATTTTGAAGATGCCAAGGAATTTTGAAATTACACTATTTTAACCTTGCCATAATTTAATGGAAAGGGGGAACACCAAGTATTTCTTCATTTTTTAAATTAAAAACTTTCTATTGTGGGCAAAATACATATAATGTAAAATTAACCGTCTTTTTTTTTTTTTTTTTTTTTTTTGAGTCAGAGTCTCACTCTTGTAGCCCAGGCTGGAGTGCAGTGGTGCCATCGCAGCTCACTGCAACCTCTGCCTCCCGGGTTCAAGCGATTCTCCTGCCTCAGCCTCCCGAGTAGCTGGGATTACAGTCGTGCACCACCACGCCCAGCTCATTTTTGTTATTTTTAGTAGAGATGAGGTTTCACCATGTTGGCCAGGCTGGTCTCGAACTCCTGACCTCAGGTGATCTGCCTGCCTCGGCCTCCCAAAGTGCTGGGATTACAGTGTTGAGCTACCATCTCTACTATATTTACTCACTTTCAAAAGAACCCTTTTCTGTTTTCCTTCCAGATAAGTTATACCAGCCAAAATATCAACAAAATGGTGAAAAATCTTAATTCCCTGTCTGCAAGAAAAAAAATATTTATTAGTGTTAAAAAAAAAAAAAAAAAGACTGTAGAAATCCAAAAGTCATTTTGAAAGCAACGACCGTTTTAAGGGCCAAAAGAGAAATACGGGCTGTTTCGAGCGTGAATCAAAGTGTCAAAGAACATTTGGAGGCTGCTCGGTAGACATGCACTCTCTCAAGGACAACTGAGATGCATGCCTGACTGAGTCACGGCTGAGCACCCAGCGCTCAGCAGTCAGCTCCAGAGCTGCAGAAAGTAACCCAGTGAGACCCGCGGTGCCGGCTACAGGTCCCTGACAGCTGATACCCAACTTCAATACAAAGATCAATTTGCTGCTAGTCCAGAGAAATTGACCTTCGTGTTCAGACTCATGGGCAGAAAAAGTCAACAGTGATTTAAAAATGAACCCCAAATCAATTATTCTAAGGAATTTAACGCTGGTTCAATGACTGAAAATTGTCATTGCCTGGCTCTGAAATAGAAAGGAAAGGTGAGCCAAAAAATAAATACCGAGTCATTGGTAAGGTTCTGTTGGAGTCAATTAATGGATCCCTAGAGCTGATTAAAGAAAAAAAAATTATTAATGCAACATCTGGAGTTAAGTTATTTAAAAGCTAATACCAGGGCTTATGCCACTGAATTTCCAAGGGACTTGGCAAAGGAGAATTATCTATTTATTTTCTAAATACCACAGATTCCTTTAAATTACCCAACCTCTCTTGCTTCATTCAAACATGTGCAGCTTCAAGTGGGCGTCTACTGCATTAGATTAGATAAGTCACAAGGGCAGAGTCTCTGGACTGCAGGCGTTGCTTTGCAGTTGAGCTGCTCTCTTCACATGGGTACCACCATAATGTATGCTCCAGGGTGAAGAGCAGCAGGAGTAGGGATTTACTCACGGACAGAACAATCAATGTGGCCAACAGAGATGCTTTGTACAGAATTACTAATTAGTGCAGCAAGGTATTAATTATTATAATTTCTAAAAATATTACAATTCCATCTTTAATTTTGTTTAGTTCCATTCAACTTTTAACAGTGATTGTTTCTTGTAAGCAACGTTAGATGTCACAACTAACATGAAAGCAAAACTGTGTCTCATTCTCTGAGCACGCACCAATAACTGGCAGGAGCTGGATGCCTCTTAAACAGAGTGGCAAGCACCAGAAAGTCAGGAAGGTAATCTGATATTTGAATTTCCATTTAGACAATATCCAAAGAAGATAATCCATGTGTGATTAACTGTGACTTTAATAACCCTACAAACCACGCACGCCTCCATTTGATTCATTTTATAGTTACAGTTTTAAAGAAAGGAAAGGCATCAAATCTGTACCCAAAACATCAATTTTAGGGAACTTATTCAAAAAATTTAAAGTGTCTACCAGCTCACTTTTAAACATGTAACTAGGCTGGACGCAGTGGCTCATGCCTGTAATCCCAGCACCTTGGGAGGCTGAAGTGGGCAGATCACTTGAGGTCAGGAGTTCAAGATCAGCCTGGCCACCATGGTGAAACCCCGTCTCTACTAAAAATACAAAAATTAGCCGGGGTGTTGGCCCATGCCTGTAATCCCAGCTTCTCAGGAGGCTGAAGCATAAGAATCGCTTGAACCAGGGAGGCGGAGGTTGCAGTGAGATCGTACCACTGTACTCGGGCCTGCATGACAGTGTGAGACTCTGTCTCAACAAACAAACAAACATGTAATTAAAAACAGCCCTAGAGCTATAATGCCAACTTGGGAGAAAAACATAAGGAATCTCTATCTACCAATTACTTTTGAACACAGAACCCAGAAGTAAAGATTCTCTGTAATTCTATTCCTTTATTTTCCTGCCCTAATACATACTAAAACCTGCCAAATCTTCTCCTTATCTTCCATTAAAAATTCTCTCTCTGGCTGGGCGCGGTGGCTCACACCTATAATCCCAGTACTTTGGGAGGCCGAGGTGGGCGTATCACGAGGACAGGAGTCTAAGACCAGACTGGCTAACATGGTGAAACCCCGTCTCTACTAAACAAAACACAAAAAAGTTAGCCAGGCGTGGTGGCGGGCGCCTGTAGTCCCAGCTACTAGGGAGGTTGAGGCAGGAGAATGGCGTGAACTCAGGAGGCGGAGCTTGCAGTGAGCTGAGATTGTGCCACTGCACTCCAGCCTGGAGCCTGGGCGACAGAGTGAGACTCCGTCTCAAAAAAAAAAAAAAATAAATAAATAAATAAATAAATAATCTCTTTCTTGTTTTGTTCCAATGAGAAAAACTATATATGTTTGAAAAAAAAATTCAAATAATAAAAACACACTGAAGGTAAAAGTCTCTATTCAGGTATGATTTAACTCTGCATGTATTTAACTTGATGCGGCCACCCTGTATGATAGGAGAGGATCAGCAAAGGTCTTGCCTATTCCCCTAGCTCATAACTGATTTAGTGTGAGTGCACGTGTGTATACAGTGTGGTGGTTAATTCTCTTCAAAGGAGTATGGAAAGAGGATGACAGAGTTGGATGGAACCTCAAAGACCATCCAGTGGCAAAATACATATAATGTAAAATTAACCATCTGAGGCCAGGGATCATTGATTTTACATGTGAAAAGACATAAAGTGATTTTGCCTCTTCTCTCCCGACCCAGGCTTAGCCAGCTTTGGTAAATTCAGTCCCAACTAGAATCCAATTCTTCATTTCATTTCAATTTACGGATATAAAAGAAAAATCTATATATAAATAGTGAGCACTTGAGTGTAATGAGAACTGATGAGTTAGGCTGGGTTCACAAAATATATTCAGCAGGTATTGGGATTCTATTTCTCCCATAAGTAGGTAGACAAATAGTGTCGGGAAAGCATACTTTGAGTATGCAAAACTAAGTCTGTCCCAGGACAACTGACTGTACTTCTAAACCCAGCCCTCATTTGCTGGTCCCAGCAGGTGGGTGAAAACAGATGAATTAATTGGTAAGCAAACACTACCAGAAAACGCGTACAAACATGTACACGTACATCAGTCATATCATCAATCAAGGCCCACACGGTGTAATTATTACTCAATAAGAACAGAAACCACTCTTAGAAATCATACCTTATCTTTCCAAACCACACCAAGCAAAAACAATAATCAAAAAAAGATTCTACTCTGTGATCATTTCTGACCCCTTGATGATTGCAAAAATCACTGCCTTCTAACAGATTACAAAGAGTGTGGAGGTCTCTGAGGTGGTCACGGTGATAGCTCTGAGCCTGTCAGTCCCTATCAACCACCTTCTATTATAAATAAAGGTTTTCCAATTTTGCACTTCTCTCAAAGGCTTCAATTTGCCTGGATTAAGCTGAAGCGTCAACGTTTGAACTTACTGCTCCTATTCCCACTCCCCAAATAAATGCTGTTAGCAGAAAAACAGGCTTTTCCACAGTAGGAACTCAAAATCAAAGCAGACAACATTGATGTGGTCACATATAAACGATATTCTGACCACAAACACTTAACACGCGCATTATCCAAACCCCATGAGCAATCGCAGGGTACAGGATAGAGTGAATCTTTCAGGGCACCAAGAGAAAGAAAGGTCAGCGAGTCATACATTTTAGCTCCTGAAATGAATATCCAGCAATGCCAATATATTCATCAAAGTGCCACAGTATTCTCTTAGATTACAGAAGCAGGTCTCCTAAGAGCTTTATACTATACCATTTCACTACTTAGTATATATTATCTTCATGATGGAGAAGTCATTTATTGAAAATACTCCAGGTATGTCTGGGGAGGGGAACAGTTTAAACTGATTGAAGAAGACATGTTTAAAAATAATAATAAGAACAACTTAAGAAGAGGGACCTGCCTTATTTATCTTTGTAATAATGATAGCTAGGTAGATATTTGCTATGTTATTATTATTGTTGTTTATATTTTTTTTTGAGACAGTTTTTTGCTCTTGTTGCCCAGGCTGGAGGGCAGCGGCGCGATCTTGGCTCACTGCAACCTCTGCCTCCTGGGTTCAAGCGATTCTCCTGCCTCAGCCTCCTGAGTAGCTGGGATTACAGGTGCCCACCACCACGCTCAGCTAATTTTTTTTGTATTTTTAGTAGAGATGGGGTTCCACCATGGTGGCCAGGCTGGTCTCAAACTCTTGACCTCAGGTGATCCACCCGCCTCGGCCTCCCAAAGAGCTGAGATTACAGGCATGAGCTACCGCGCCTGGCCGGTATTTGATATATTATTATACTATAACCCTCTGGGGGTTGCAGTTTATATAAATATGGTCAAAGTTACAGTCTTTTACATTTTTCTGTACTAATAAATAGATTTCATTATTATTTTAAATGACTACCTAATTGGGACAAAGAGCCAGAAATAGGATGAGGAGAAGAGAAAGTGATGAGGAGAAGAGAAAGTGATGAGGAGAAGAGAAAGTAATGAAGAGAAAAGAGAGTTCAGAGTTAGAACAAACAGGCCTGGCGTCTGCCTAGATAGATATGAGAAAGAGAGATCCCAAAGTAGTATATTGTGACATGTTTTATTTGGCCCACATGGTATTTTTTTTATGTGAATTTATTGTCAACATTAAAATATTGGGACATTTCACTTAGAGATCCAGATTTCAGGCTTCTCTTAAACAAATAAACAGATGATGTAGGAATTCTCAGCTTGCATTCCCACTTAGTAAAAATCTGCCGTTGACGGCTCTAGTTTGCCACTGGAGATAATCCCAGCTGCCCACTTAATGCAGGAAGGTTTCCCTGTCTGGCCCTTGAAGGCATTTGAAGAGATGAAGGAAGTTTGGGGCCTGAAAAAATAGGAAGCATGGAAGAGGAAGCTTATTTTGGGACAAAGAACATGTAGACATGGAAAAGGTGTTGCAGGCAATCAAGAGAAACTAGCTAGCTGGTAGCTAATGAAGACACAGACTTGGGATTCAAGTGAGGTTTGGGTCTGAGATGTGGAACTGTGAGTTACCCATGAAGTTAAATTAAAAAAGCAGATGAAGTGGTTTAAAGAAAAGTTATCAAGGAAAAGAGAGCAGAGGACTGAGCCTTAAGTATTGTCCTCAAAAGACAGGGGGGCCACGTGAGGTGGCTCACGCCTGTAATCCCAGCACTTCGGGAGGCCGAGGTGGGCGGAACATGAGGTTAGGAGTTCGAGACCAGCCTGACCAACAGGGTGAAACCCTGTCTCTATTAAAAATACAAAAAAGTAGCCAGGCATGGTGGTGTGCACCTGTAACCCCAGCTACTCAGGAGGCTGAGGCAGGAGAATCGTTTGAACCCAGGAGATGGAGGTTGCAGTGAGCTGAGATCACACTATTGATCTCCAGCCTGGGCAACAGAGCGAGACTCTGTCTTGGAAAAAAACAAAAACAAAAAGAGAGAGAGACAGAGGAAGAGGGAAAAAATGAGAGGCCATGGAGAACAAAACAATCACCATAGGTTCCATGATCTGGTCCCAGCCTGCCTAGCTTCATTTTCCACGCCTCTCAGCAAGCAGCCTTGATCCCAGCCAGACAGGCTATGTCTTAGAGAAACCTGGTGCTGTCAATGCCTTCTTCGAATCTATTTCCCACTGCCTGGAATGCTATTTTCTCCTCTCTGCCTGTGTTACATTTTTGTTTGTTTGTTTTTTGAAACAGAGTCTCACTTTGTTCCCCAGGCAGGAGTGCAGTGGCATGATCTAGGCTCACTGCAACCTCCGCCTCCCGGGTTCAAGTGATTCTCCTGCCTCAGCCTCCTGGGTAGCTGGGACTACAGGCATGTACCGCCATGCCTGGCTAATTTGTGTATTTTTAGTAGAGATGGGGTTTCACAATGTTGGCCAGGCTGGTCTTGAACTCCTGACCTCGTGATCTGCCCACCTTGGCCTTCCAAAGTGCTGGGATTACAAGTGTGAGCCATCGCACCCGGCCTGCGTTACATTTCTATTCACCTTTCTCGAATGAGCTCGGGCCCACGCTTCACCACTATGCTATATACGTATGTAAGAAGTCTGCACTTGCAGTCTGTAACTATATACAAACAAAAATCTTTTAAAAAGCCAAAAAATAAGCCCAAGAGTTGCCCCAAATGCCCAAGAGATGCCTGTCACAGTGTCCCCTGCACCACTATCACATTGCTCTGAGTCTGCTGCCTTCCCATTTGATTGAGCCCTCCATGAGGTCAGGGACCAGGACTCCTTCATTTTATCCTCAGTGGTGTTCAATAAATGATAACAGAAAAAAGGAAGGGAAGGAATGAGCAACTGATGTGGCGGGATAAATCTTGACATAATGCTGGGTCACAGAAGTCAAGGAAGAAGAGCTATTTCTGCCAGAGAGAACCATCTCAAATATGAGAAGTTATTCCAGGAGAATGAGGGCTGATGAGAAGCACTGGATTTCAGCAAGAATCTGCCACTAATAAGGTTGGGGTGGGGGATGGTTTCTGATACTTTACTGGAAAATAACTTGGAAATATATATCAAAAGGCTTAACACTGTTTGCACCCTGAGGCTGAACAAATCTACTTGGGAAACACATCTGTAATGGACAATGTGGGTTTTTGTTTTTTTTGTTTTTTTTTTTTTGGTTTTGCTTTTTTTCCCTGTCCAGATCCAAGTTTTGTTTCTGTTTTGAAGGTGCTCCTGTTACATGACCTCTTGGTAGGGGGCGGCTTCTCACTTCCCATTGAGGATGTCAAAGCCACCAGATTCTTCCTCAGACTCCCTTAAGAGAGGCAGAGGCACCCACGTGTTCAGCAACTCTGGCCTCACCATCCAGATCACAACCTTCTTGCCAAGGACAGCTGCTCTGTCCTCTGGCCCTGCAGCTGTCACTTATCTGGGCCTCAAATAACCCTCCAGTCAGGGCCCCATGGTTATAAGGCAGCCAGAGTCTGCCTCTGATTCTGGTTCCTGGGAGTATCCTAATGGAAATCCTACCTGAGAGAAAAAGATCCTAAATATCGAAAAAAGTGCTATGCATTTCATGTAGCATGATTTACACAGCAAAATGTGGGAATAAACTAAGGCCCCCAAACCAGGAACACAGAAGTAAATGATGGTATTGCTACTTGATAAAATGGTACTCACCATTAGAAGTAAAATATAGCATAATGTTAAAAAACAGAAGGTTTGTTGTTGTTGTTGTTGAGACACAGTCTTGCTCTGTCGCCCAGGCTGGAGTGCAGTGGTAGGATCTCGGCTCACTGCAACCTCCACCTTCTGGGTTCAAGCAATTCTCCTGCCTCAGCCTCCCTAATAGCTGGGATTACAGGCACCTGCCATTAGGCCTGGCTAATTTTTGTATTTTTAGTACAGACGGGGTTTTTGCCATGTTGGTCAGGCTGGTCTCGAACTCCTGACTTCAGGTGATCCACCTGCCTCAGCTTCCCAAAGAGTTGGGATTATAGGTGTGAGCCACCATGCCCAGCCAAAAGAAGGATTTAAAAATACAGTATTATCATAATCTTGTAAAAAATTACTTGCAGAAAAGATGACTGGGAGTAATAAAACATTAGGCAAATAAGTATTTTTCCCTAAAAATTCTACTTAACTTTTAAATTACAAAAGTAATACAGGCTTACTGTAATATATTCTGAAGACATAGAAAGAAAACATTGATGGGCCAGGCATGGTGGCTCACGCCTGTAATCCCAGCACTTTGGGAGGCCGAGGAGGGCCAATCACGAGGTCAGGAGATCGAGACCATCCTGGCTAACACAGTGAAACTCCGTCTCTACTAAAAATACAAAACATTAGCCAGGCCTGGTGGGGGGTGCCTGCAGTCCCAGCTACTCGGAAGGTTGAGGCAGGAGAATGGCATGAACCCAGGAAGCATAGCTTGCACTGAGCCACTCTACTCCAGCCTGGGTGACAGAGCGAGACTCCATCTCAAAAACAAACAAACAAACAAAAGAAAACATTGATGATCCCAACACCCAGCCCCCTGCCTTACCCATGTCCTGCCATTCCCACATCACCAATGGTGACCACGTGCCCCTCCACACCTCTCTTCAGACTCTAACCAACACTGCACATGCAGGTCTCTCTCCTCCTTTTCTTTCCGTCCTCCCTCCCTCCTTTTCCTTAAGTGGGACCATAGTATATATACTCCCTGCTTATTTTGGTTTGGCTTTTCACTTACCAAACTCAGAAGCAGCTTGTCTTACTAATTCTTCAGACCTCTGCTCCTGTGTTGCAGCCTCTTGGAAACCTCTGAGCCCTTGGCTGACTCAGACCCGTCTGTACTACCTGCAGTCATTAGTGATTTACAGCATGTGTCCCCTCTCTCCTATACTCTTAAGTCCTATCTACCTTTTACCCTTTTTTTTTTTTTTTAAAGAAACAGGATCTCATCACTGCCCAGGCTGAAGTGCAGTGGCACAATCATAGCTCACCGCAACGTTGAACTCCTAGGTTCAAGGGATCCTCCCATCCCAGCCTCCCAAGTAGCTGGGACTATAGGCGTGAGCCACTGTGCCCAGTCCTATCTACATTTTTAGCTCCAGTTCCTAGCCCAGTACCTGGCACACAGATGATATCCACTATCTGTGCTGGCATGGATGAAGAAGAGAACAGATGAATGGGAAAACTTGAGGACAAGATGGTTTTGAAGGCAGATAGGCACTGATGAAGGACAAGGCATTTCTCCATTGATACTGAATTAAGGATGACACAGCGGGTACAGAGACAGACACACAAGAATGTAAAGAAAAAGGGGCCAAGAGATTTAACTAGCTTACCTCAATGAACCATGATAAGGGAAAGAAGAAGTAAAAACAATAGCCAGATAGAAATATTCTTGATAAACAGCATGATAAATAAAGGAACTGGCATAGTTCCTTCTTTGTTCCAGATTAATTGCTTATTCTTGTGGTAAAAGATTAAAAATAATTCTCTGAGAGACAAAAGTAGCTCTAAAGTCTGTTAAATAAACAAGACTACTTAGAACTCAGTTTCTTACCTATGTTTTATAAGGTTCAAAAGAGCTAATATGATAAAAAGCATGTTGGTCAGGCACAGTGTCATACATCTGTAATCCCAGCACTTTGGGAGGCTGAGGCAGGCAGATCGCTTGAGTCCAGGAGTTTGAGACCAGCCTGGGCAACATGGTGAAATCCTGTCTATAAAAAATAAAATAAAAATTAGCCAGGCATGACGGCGAGTGCCTGTAGTCCCAGGTACTCAGCAGGCTCAGGTGGGAGGCTCACTTAAGCCTGGGAGGTGGAGGTTGCAGTGAGTGCCACTGCACTCCAGCCAGGATGACAGACCAGACAGACCCTGTACCAAAAAAAAAAAAAAAAAAAAAAAAGAAAGAAAAAAGAAAAAAAGCAAGCCAGGTGCGGTGGCTCACACCTGTAATCCCAACACTTTGGGAGGCTGAGGCAGGCAATCACTTGAGGCTGGGGGGTTGAGGCCAGCCTAAGCAACATGGTGAAACCCCGTCTCTACTAAAAAATACTAAAATTAGCCAGGCATGGTGATACACACCTGTAATCCCAGCTAATTGGGAGGCTGAGGCAGGAGAATCACTTGAACTCAGGAGGCGGAGGTTGCAGTGAGCCGAGATCACACCATTGCACTCCAGCCTGGGCGAAAGAGCAAGACTCCATCTCAAAAAACAAAAATGAATTAAACCCCACATCTTATCATAGCTGGCATTTATAAAGGACTCACTAGTACTAGTCATTGTGCCACCTAACTGTTCTCACTTAGTCTACAGAACAATCACATGTACTACTAATTGCTATCCTCCTTTTAGAGTGAAGGGAACTGAGACTTAGAGAGGGCAAGCAGCTCTCTAAGTCACCCAGGCTGTAAGTGGCAGATCCCAAATTGTGCCCCAGGACTGTCGGACGCCACACCTGTGCTGCATGCTACTACTCTTAACCAGGGTCCTGCCCCACCTCCCTAAGAAGATCACATTCAGATGAGCTGAAGGCAGATCCAATGGTCGTCGATTGAGACAGCATTAATGCAATGTCAGCTGGGTTGATTTCTAACCACATCACTGAAACACTACTAAAATCACAATAAACGTGCTTAGACAACATTACGTAATAGTCAATATGCTGAGAAGCAAGACTGTACATCCACCCGAGTCATTCAGAATTCTTAGTCTGGTCTTTCACAATTGGCGCCCTCTGTCAGACTCAGACAAGGCTCTATTTTGAATTCTAATGAGGACCAAGCACACTGAATATTTAAACTGCAATTACAAAGATCCTACTTTTATGTAAATGTCCTTAATGGAAGTAACAGATCTGAAAATACATAGAGGTACCAGTGGAAAAATATCAGTCTAATTTGCATTTAGAAGCTAGAAAAAAAAAAAAACAGTATTGTTTTCTACTTGATGCTATCATTGGGGTGGGGTTGAGGGAGGAAAAGGGAGGAAAATCCACACAAAAATCTCGGTAAAAATTTTAAAGCCTGTGCTCCTGAGTGAAAGGTTCACAAAGAGGTACTTGAATCCCTTGTTAAGAACTGAACAAACAAATTCATCATCGGGCCTCTCTCCTGTGTGGCCCCTTGCAGTTCAGTCTGTATTCATAACTAGAAATTCTCTCACTGCTCAAGCATCTATGACTGATACATCGGCCCATCAAGGAAGATATGCCAAGGGTAGCGAAACAAAAGGCCATTTCATGATTCACAACCTATTTTTACACTCCTTTGTGTAAAATGATGATGTGGCGGCTGCTATCCACACTGCACCCAAGTCCTCTTAAACAGTGATAGAATTGCCCTGTGAATGGTAATTGAGTTACACTCCACTGGGCTGCTTAATTCCCACCCCCTATAGTTAAAGTACACCTTGCTTGCAGTTTGATTATGCATTTGTATGTGTTCATATATAAAACAGCCAATGTGGCTTTGCACTTGAGAAGAGCAGGTGGTTAACTCTTCGCTGTATCTCGAAGCTCTTGCACCAACCCTCTGCCCCTCAAACGCCTTTCTTATTAAGATCATAATTTAACTGCCTAGCATTTGGGCATTCTCTTCAAGATGCTAACATTTATCAAATGGATTATGCTTTTTTTTTTTTTCTTTCTTCTGGTTTGTCCTCTGGTTGATTCTTTCTTCTGCTGATACCAAATATGTTCACTGGATTTTTTAATTTCAGTTACCTGTTATTTCTAGAAGTTCTATCTGGTCCCTTTTCAAAATTTCTGTGTTACTTATTATAGTTTTCGGGTTTCTTAAGATGCTTTCAAGCTTGTCATTTTTAAAATATATTTTAAAAAGTGGAATTGAGTTTATAATCAACGTCTGATAATTCTACTACTGCAATTCTGTTCAGATTCATGTCCATGGTCTATTGCTGGTCCTCACTCATGCTGTGCTGTTTCCGGGTATGCTAGAATATATTTGACTATGTGCTGGTCATTGCCCTTAGAAATTTATTTTTAGTTGGCTCCTAGCATCCTAGAATATGCTTTCCTCCAGAGGCATTTCATTTGTTTTTGCCAGGCACCTCGAGCTATAACAGGTGAGTCTGCCTCAAACCAAATTCATGGTATGATGTTTCCCGGTCTACCCTGAGTATGTATGTCCAGGGGGCAAATTCACATGTGGGCCTTTCTGTGACCACAAGTTGTCAATACTGTATTTTCCCTCCCGTCTTTTTCTTCTCCTATTCTGCTCAGTGCCAACGCTGCCCTTTCCACAACCCCCCATGGTAAGTTTAGTTCTGGTTCACTTTTACTCTGAGGGTGTAGCTCTTTGGGGTCCCAGTTTCTTGTGGGAAGGGTCTCCCATGACATTTCCTAATTAGAGTGGGTGCCCAGGGACTAAATTTCCACCCCATTTGCCTGCCCCTCTCAGGCTACAGAAGTGTCTGGCTTTATCAGATTAAAAAAATTATTTTTATTTTTATTTATTAATTTTTTTTCTGAGATGGAGTCATGCTTTTTTGCCCAGGCTGGAGTGCAGTGGCATGATCTCGGCTAACTGCAATCTCTGCCTCCCGGGTTCAAGCGATTCTCCTGCCTCAGCCTCCCAACTAGCTGGGATTACAGGCACGCACCACCACGCCTGGCTAATTTTTGTATTCTTAGTAGAGACAGGGTTTCAACATGTTGGCCAGGCTGGTCTTGAACTCTTGACCTTGTGATCCACCCGCCTCGGCCTCCCAAAGTGCTGGGATTACAGGCATGAGCCACCACGCCCAGCCCTCATTTTTTTTTTTTTTTTTTTTTTAAGGAAAATACTGAAAAGTGGGCCAGGCGCGGTGGCTCACGCCTGTAATCCCAAAACTTTGGTAGGCTGAGGTGGGCAGATCACCTGAGGTCAGGAGATCGAGACCAGCCTGACCAACATGGAGAAACTCTGTCTTTAACAAAAATACAAAAATTAGCCCAGCGTGGTGGTGCATGCCTGTAATCCCAGCTACTCAGGAGGCTGAGGCAGGAGAATAGCTTGAACCTGGGAGACGGAGGTTGCAGTGAGCTGAGGTCATGCCATTGCACTCCAGCCTGGGAAACAAGAGCAAGAAGACTCCATCTCAAAAAAAAAAAAAGAAAAGAAAAGAAAAAGAAAAAGAAAAAGAAAATACTGGAAAGTACCTAAGAGTTTAGAGGCTGAAAGCAAAACCAAGCCAGGCTAATATGAAGGTTCCTCAAACATTTAAAAACTGAATTACCATTTTATCCAACAACTCCACTTCTGTATATATACACAAAAAAGGAAAGACTTGAGCAGCTATTTGTACAGCAACATTTATGGTGGCATTATTCACAATAGCCAAAAGGTGGAACAACCTGTGTCCACTGACAAATGGATAAACAAAATGTGATATATACATAAAATGGAATTATTATTCAGCCTTACAAAGCAATGAAATTCTGATACACACTACAACATGGATGAATCTTGAAGACATCACCCTAAATAAGCCAGATATAAAAGTATACATATGATCCCGCTTACAATAGGTACCTAGAATAATCATATCTACAGAGACAGAAAGTAGAAAAGTAGTTACCAAGGGCTGAAAGAGGGAGGAATAGGGAATTATTGTCTTGGATAAATTTCAGTTTGGGATGTTAAAAAAAGTGGCTGGGCGCAGTGGCTCACACCTGTAATCCAAGCACTTTGGAAGGCCGAGGAGGGTGGATCACCCGAGGCTGGGAGTTTGAGACCAGCCTGATTAACATGGAGAAACTCTGTCTCTACTAAAAATACAAAATTAGCCAGATGTGGTGGCGCATGCCTGTAATCCCAGCCACTCAGGAGGCTGAGGCAGGAGAATCGCTCGAACCCGGAAGGCAGAGGTTGCAGTGAGCTGAGATTGCACCATTGCATTCCAGTCAGGGCAACAAGAGCAGAACTCTATCTAAAAAAAAAAAAAAAAAAGTTCTGGACAGCCTCGGCCACGAAGTGAGACTCTATCTCTAGAATTTCTTTTTTTTAATGCCACTGAACTGTACATTTAAATGTAGTTAAGATGGTAAATTTTATGCTATATATATTTTACCACAATTAATTTTTTTTTTTTTTTGATGGAGTCTCACTGTGTCACCCAGGCTGGAGTGCAGCGGCACGATCGCGGCTCACTGCAACCTCTGCCTCCCAGGTTTAAGCGATTCTCCTGCCTCAGCTTCCCAAGCAACTGGGACTACAGGCGTGTACCACCACGCCTGGCTAATTTTTGTATTTGTAGTAGAGATGGGGTTTCACCATGTTGGCCAGGTTGGTCTTGAACTCTTGACCTCAGGTGATCCACATGCCTCGGCCTTCCAAAGTGCTGGGATTACAGGCGTGAGCCACCATGCCCAGCCAAAAGAAATTTTTTTAAACAGGTCAGGTTAATTTTGCCAAGAGTTGCTAGACCTACTCAGTAAGTTCCACAATATGCTTTGTGTTCACAGGCATAATATTGATCAGTTGAAGGCTTAAAAGGAAATTCCTGAGAGGCTTAAATACTTGACTGACCCCCGTACAGCTTTAGAGACCACATGCTGACCTTCATCGACATGCAAAAACTAGCACTGCATGTCAACAAATGCATATATAAAATGCAAAAATTGTCCTGTAAAGGTATCAGGCATAGGAAATAAGTACAGTTACTTGGTTGTTGATCCATAATACTGATAAAATTATTAAGTAAATATTACAAAAAGAATTGAAGAAATAACAGAAATAATGATCTCTAAAGTATTTCCATTAAAAGAATAAAGAGGTTGGGCGCGGTGGCTCACACCCGTAATCCCAGCACTTTGGGAGGCTAAGGTGGGCAGATCACCTGAGGTCAGGAGTTTGAGACCAGCCTGGGCAACATGGTGAAACTCCATCTCTACTAAAAATACAAAAATTAGCTGGGTGTGGTGGTGCACGCCTTAATCCCAGCTACTCAGGAGGCTGAGGCAGGAGAAATCACTTGAACCTGGGAGGCAGAGGTTGCAGTGAGCTGAGATTGTGCCACTGCACTCCAGCCAGGGTGACAGAGTGAGACTCTGTCTCAAAAAAAAAAAAAAAAAAAAAAAGAAGAATTTTCTTTTTTCAGTATCTACTTAACACTGCTATACTGATGAACTTCTCCCTTTTGAATCATTACATATAATTCTGTGGCAGATAATATATACATATATAATTAAATAAAATGAGGCATGAGATAAATGTATAGTTATTTTAAAATATGGACACAAGTTTTCCAAACGTATTTTAGTACTTCTGGGATTCCTTAAATTCTTTTCTATTTTCAAAAAACAACACTTAAGAGTCCAGCTCAGAAGACATTATGACACTTCTGGGTAAAAATACTACACACCAGATATTAACATCAAATTAAAAACTGGCAACAGTGTAAGAAATATTCCACATTCATTATGACTTCATGAGTGGCATGTGCTGAGTTACTATGTTGCAAACACAAAAACTTGCCAACATGTCTATGAATATATTCATTCCAAACTAGCAACATAATTGCTGAGAACAACAAAAACAACATATATAACATTGTATGTCTTCCTGCTCTAGACATATAGTAACGAGAGCTAATACCAGTACTTGCTCACCGCACACAATGTACCAAAGATGGTTTTAAGTGATATATATATGTTAGGTTGGTGCCAAAGTCATTGCAGTAATGGCAAAAACCACGTTTACTTTTGCACCAACCATATACATATATACCCACATACACATACATACATATATATATTACATACACGCAATCATTTATTTCTCATAACAATCCTTTGAGGTCTATATCTCTATTATCCCCATTTCAAAGATGGGAAAATCGTGGCAAAAGGGAGTTTAGGCTTTCCTGAGGTCACGCAGCTAGAGAGAGTTCGTGAAGCTCGGGTGTGAGGCCAGGCTCTAGAGCTCACTCTCATGATATCTATGCTCTGGCACCTCTCACATACGTATGGAAAGCTGGGGGAGGTGGCCAGCACTGGACACTTTACATAGTCCATACAACTGAATTTTGATAACCAAATTCTCCGCTTTCTTATAATTAGGAAACTGAGGCCCAGATTAAGAGAGAGGTGGAAGTGAACTCATATTGAGAGGTGAAGCCGGCTGGACTTCTGGGTCGGGTGGGGACTTGGAGAACTTTTCTGTCTCACTAAAGGATTATAAACACACCAATCAGCGCTCTGTGTCTCGCTAAAGGTTTGAAAACGCACCAATCAGCACTCTGTAAAAAATGCCCCAATCAGCGCTCTGTGTCTAGACAAAGGTTTATAAACACACCAACCAGCATGCTGTAAAACACACCAACCAGCACGCTGTAAAAATGCACCAATCAGTGCTCTGTGTCTAGCTTAAGGTTTGTAAACGCACCAATCAGCACTCTGTAAAAATAGACCAATCAGCACTCTGTAAAATGGACCAATCAGCACTCTGTAAAATGGACCAATCAGCACTCTGTAAAATAGACCAATCAGCAGGACATGGGCGGAGCCAAAGAGAGGAATAAAATCAGGCCACCTGAGGCAGCAACCCTGACCCGCTCGGGTCCCCTTACATGCTGTGGAAGCTTTGTTCTTTCACTGTTCACAATAAATCTTGCTGCTGCTCACTCTTTCGGTCCGCACCACCTTTGTGAGCAGTAACACCGGCTGCAACGGTCTGCAGCTTCACTCCTGAAGTCAGCGAGACCACGAACCCACCGGAAGGAAGAAATTCCGGACACATCTGAACATCGGAAGGAACAAACTCCGGACACACCATCTTCAAGAACTGTAACATTCACTGCGAGGGTCCACAGCTTCATTCTTGAAGTCAGCGAGACCAAGAACCCACCTGAAGGAACCAATTCCGGACACAGTATCTCTCATCTTTAAAGTTTCAGGATCTATCATAGATAACAAAGTCCCTGTGGCCAGAAGTTATGGGAGAAGATTGATAAAGCAAAAACTGAGGACCAGAAGCACAGGGCAGGATGGTCGGGCAGGACAGTGGTGATAAAGGGTCTCAAGGAGACCCCATGGGGCTCCACTACCTCTGAGCTTGCAGAGTCTCTATGTGCCTGACCCTCTCTCACCCCATTGTTCTAGCCTTCTTTCTTACTGAGCAAACACAGCCAGGGAAGGTGATGCTTCTGAAGCTGCACATCTCAGGGACCCTTGCCCAGAGCTTCCAAAGTGGACAGATGGAGAGGATCCATTACATTTTTCATATTAAAAAGGCTGAAAGTTTGGCAAAGTATGTTCTCAGATCTCTAGGTTTTTTTTAAATTGCTTTTGTAATTCTTTTTTTTTTTTAAAGACACAAGGTTTCACTCTGTCACCCAAGTGGAAGTACAGTAAGACAATCATGGCTCACTGCAGCCTCAGCCTCCTGGGCTCAAGTGATTCTCCTGTCTCAGCCTCCCAAGCAGCTAGGACTACAGGCACATACCACCATGCCTGGCTAATTTTTAAAATTAATTAATTTTGAGACAGGGTCTCACTCTGTCACCCAGGCTGGAGTGCAATGGCACAATCTCAGTTCACTGCAACCTTCAAGCAATTCTCCCTCTTCAGCCTCCCAAGTAGCTGGGACTACTACAGGTGTGTACCACAATGGCTGGCTATTTTTTTGTATCTTTAGTAGAGACAGGGTCTCGCCATGTTGCCCAGGCTGCTAATTTTTAAATTTTTTATAGAGACAGAGAGGTCTTGCTATGTTGCCCAGGCTGGTCTCAAACTCCTGAGCCACTGCAGGTGGCCTGTGATTCTAGTTTTCATAAATATGTCAGCTTTATAATCTTGGTGCACCCTTGTGAGACGAAGCACCCAAAAACAATTACTGTGATTACTACTGCTATTCCCATCATTTATCATCACGTACCTTTGGGCAAGGCACTGTGCACCGGCAATACACAATTTAAACCTCACAAAAGTCTGCATCAGAATTTCTGCAGAACAAGCACCTGCAGCAGAACTGCTTGGTACACTTGTTAAATAATGAACATTCTTGAACTCCACCCTAGATCTACTCAATCAGAATCCCCAGGGGAGGGCCTCAGGATCAGTATTTTAAGCAAGCCCTCCAAGCGATTCTTATCTTGGCATATGAATCCCCATTTTACATACAAGGTATCAAGAGGTAAGGTGACTTGACAAAGATACCATCACTAAACATAGGATTTGAACTCAATTAAGCTTGTGGTTATTTTAAGACGGCACAAAAGCAAGTGAGATCCCCTTTAAAACCCGCCAACCAGTATAATGTTATACAATTTCCCAAACCATTAATCTCTGTAAACACACAGAAAGGACTTTTAAATTAAAAACAAAAACAACAACAAAAAAACAATGAATGATATGCCCTTTGAACTCCATTTCATTTTGACCAGATTTAACCATTGTTTAGCAATTTCAGTGCTTCATCAAATGGAACTGCCTGTATCAGAAGAGCAACCAAATCCCCACAGTAATTAGACAAACAGGAAACTCAGAGCAGAGTAAATCCACAAGCTATGACAGAAACAGAGCCATAACGTAGCTATCTCTTACCACAAGAGGCTGACTTTCTGTCCACCATGTTTACCCGCCTGGTTTCATTGCGAAGTTTTTCATCTGTGTTCTCCACTAGGTTGGCAAGGTCGTCAATTATCTCTAGAAAGGAAACATACATGATTACTATTCCTGAAATACCCCGGTTCACATCACAGTATCACAGCTGTGGTTGTTCATCCTAGCAATAATGATCTCGAGTGCAGTAACTGAAAAGGTACAGAACTCATGTCGATTCTTTGAAAACTGCAATTCTGATTGTAAAAGGAAAAAAAAAAGCAGTAGTAAAGAAGAAAACTGATTTAACACAATTCCAGCAGACAGGAGAAATGCCACATTCAGAGGAAAGAAAGCATGACCTGCCGAATTTATGCCTAGCCAAGCTGTCATTCAAGTATAAAGGAACAGACAGGCCAGGCACGGTGGCTCACGCCTATAATCCCAGCACTTTGGAAGGCTGAGGAGGGAGGATTGCCTGAGGTCAGGAGTTCGAGACCGGCCTGGCCAACATAGTGAAACCTTTTCTCTACTAAAAATACAAAAATTAGCCGGGTGTGGTGGTGTGCACCTGTAATCCCAGCTACTCGGGAGGCTGAGGTAGGAGAATCGCTTGAACCCGGGAGGCAGAGGTTGCACTGAGCCAAGATCACGCTGCTGCATTCCAGCCTGGGTGACAGAACAAGACTCCATCTCAAAAAAAAAAAAAAAAAAAGGAAC
This sequence comes from Homo sapiens, assembly GCF_000001405.40. NCBI lineage: Eukaryota > Metazoa > Chordata > Mammalia > Primates > Hominidae > Homo > Homo sapiens. The sequence continues at coordinate 9,379,269 of NC_000017.11, forward strand.
AGACGGCACAGTAGACTTCAGGGACTACCTGGGCCCTTCTTGAGAAAACTACATGATGAAGAAATCTAGCCAATCAAAAGATAAATAAAGAGATGATGGAGAGAACCAAATCCATTTAAATACTGGACTAAGAGTAAACAAATACGTGGATTAGATAACAGAAAGGTACAGAAAGGTCACAACAGTACAATGTAATTCCAACTGAAAAATTAGTCAGTGGTTGCGAGTGGGGAAGGAAGGTGAAAAGAAATTGAAAGTGCTAATTTCTTCATCTCTCGCAACGAGGCATATCGAGCAGTTGAAAAGTTAATCATACAGAAACTTGTAGCCTTTTAAAATCACCAAAACTTTAATGTTTTTTGTTAAGCTTGAGGGATCTTTTAGTAATTACTATCTCTTGTAAAGAATCCTTGATGTGGGCTGGGCACGGTGGCTCACACCTATAATCCCAGCACTTTGGGAGGCCGAGGCAGGAGGATCACCTGAGGTTGGGAGTTCGAGACCAGCCTGACCAACATGGTGAAACCCCGTCTCTACCAAAAATACAAAATTAATCGGTCATGGTGGCGCATGCCTGTAATCCTACCTACTCGGGAGGCTGAGGCAGGAGAATCGCTTGAACCAGGGAGGTGGAGGTTGCAGTGAGCCGAGATTGCACCACTGCACTCCAGTTTGGGCGACAGAGAGAGACTCTGTCTCAAAAAAAAAAAGAAAAGAATCCTTGATGTGAAATTCATTTCTTTTTTAATTCTAATCTTTTTAAGTGAAATTGAGCCCTTCACAACATTTAAAATAGCATATATAGTATAGTACGATCTTAACTATGTAAAATTATTTGTATCCATCTTTTTATATTTACAAACCTATAGGGGTATATGTGGATAATATTAATCTAATGCTACTAATGATTATTTCTAGATGGTGGGATCCTGTGTGACTGCTGCCTTCTTCCTTGCATTTTTCTGTGTTGTTTGAATTTCTGTGTGTTTTTTTTTTTTTTTTTTTTTTGAGAGAGAGGGTCTTGCTCTGTCACCCAGACTGGATACAGGGTACCACAATAGCTCACTGCAGTCTTCAAGGCTCTAGCAATCCTCCCATCTCAACCTCCTGAGTAGCTGAGACTGTAAGCATGTGCCACCACTCCCAGGTTATTGTTTAAATTTTTTGTAGAGACCAGGCCCTGCTATGTCACCCAGGCTGGTCTCAAACTCCTGGCCTCAAGAGATCCTCTTGTGTCAGCCTCTCAAAGTGTTAGGATTACAACCATGAGTCACTGTGCCTGGCCTGAATTTCTTACAGTGAGCCTATATAGTCATGTGCCACATGACATTTCAGTCGATGACCGACCACATCTACGACAGTAGTACCATAAGTGGTACAGTATTATAATGTTATAATACCATATTTTTACTGTACCTTTTCTATGTTTGGATACAGAAACTTTTTTTTTTTTTTTTTTTTTTAGAGGGAGTCTCACTCTTGTCGCCCAGGCTGGAGTGCAGTGGTGTCATAGCAGCTCACCACAACCTCTGCCTCTCAAGTTCAAGCGATTCTTCCGCATCAGCCTTCCAAGTAAGTGGGATTACGGGTGCGCACCACCCGTAATTTTTGTATTTTTGTATTTTTAGTAGAGATGGGGTTTCACCATGTTGGCCAGGCTGGTCTCGAACTCCTGACCTCAAATGATCCACCCACCTCGACCTCCCAAAGGGCTGGAATTACAGGCGTCAGCCACTGCACCCGACCATATTTACCATCTTGTTACAACTGCTTACATGCAATAATATGCTGTACAGGTTTTCAGCCTAGGGGCAATAGGCCATACCATACATATAGCCTAGGCATGCAGCAGGCTTTACCATCTAGTTTTGTGTGAGTACACTCCATGATGTTCGCACAATGAGAAAACTACCTAACAACACATTTCTCAGAACATATCTCTGTCAAGGGATTTATGACTATTATATTTTTCATTTTGTTTTTTTTTTTTCCTCCCTCCTTCTCCCTCCTTCCTGTTTTTATAGTGACTGCTTTGGAGATGTGCTGTTCAATACCAGTCACCATTTTTCTTAAAGCATTAAGTAAAGCAAACAAGGAAATCAAATAAAGTTTCCAGAATGATGTGTGAGCTAAATTCTGAAGGCGACATGGGTGAAAAAGCAGGAAAAAGGCAACCCATGCAAAAAGAATAGTATCTGAAAGGCACAAAGGAGTTGGGTGCTCCTGCTTCTTGCCTCCTGCAGCACTTCCTACAAACCTCTTATTTATAGACCGTATAGTTATATTCTATCGATTTGTTTACATGTCTTTAACAGGAAGATTATGATACAAACTAATTTTTATTCATCCTTATACCTCCCACCCCTAGGAGAATGCCTTGTATACAGCAAGATAAAATAAATATGAAAAGATAAAGACAATGAATGGGCTGGTGGCTCACGCCTGTAATCCCAGCACTTTGGGAGGCCGAGGCGGGCGGATCACAAGGTCAGGAGTTTGAGACCAGCCTGGCCAACATGGTGGAACCCCTTCTCTGCTAAAAATACCAAAATTAGCTGGGCATGGTGGCGTGCGCCTGTAATTCCAGATACTTGGGAGGCTGAGGCAGGAGAATTGCTTGAACCCAGGAGGTGGAGGTTGCAGTGAGGTGAGATCGCATCACTGTACTCCAGCCTGGGTGACAGAGCAAGACTCTGTCTTGGGGGAAAAAACAAACAAACAAACAAACAATGTCCTAACTTATCCTTGTTTCTAGTCCTGATTCATTTTAATTCATTTTCTATACAATACTCAGAACATATTTTAATTCTCTCATATTTCAATGAATTAAAATATAAATAGCTACATGTATCGAACAACTCAGCTCTAAAGCAATAACTTAAAAAAGAAACCAAGAAAACACTCACACACACACACACACACACACACATATGCCCTGCCAAGAGGTATAGTTTTAAAATAAAAATTAACAGAAGAAATAAAATTACATACTAAAAATGTATGATTCAGGAAAGGGGTAAAGAGGAACAAAAGATAGATGGGATGAAAGGAACAGAAATACAATATCTATCTGGCATGCTTAAATTCAACTATATCAATAGTCACATTAATGTAAACAGACTAAACTTTTCAATTAAAAGACAAAGGGTATCACGCAAGATTTTTTTTCTTTTTTAAATTATACTTTAAGTTCTAGGTACATGTGCACAACGTGCAGGTTTGTTACATAGGTATACATGTGCCATGTTGGTTTGCTGCACCCATCAACTCGTCATTTACATTAGGTATTTCTCCTAATGCTATCCCTCCCCCAGCAAGATTTTTAAAAAAAGATGACACAACTATATACTTTGCTATGAAACTCACTATAAAGCATAGTGTTTGTATGAGAAAGGTGGCAAAGCTATATTAATATCAGACCAGACAGACTTCTTGAAAAGGAGTATTATTAGACATAAAAAGGAACTTTTCATCATGATGAAAGGACACATGTCAAAAATGGGAAATTCTGTCATATTTGAAAATTAAGGAAAACACTTCTGATTTCCCCACAGGGCAAAGATGAAACCACAAGAGAAAGCAGAAAGCAGAAAGAAGGACAACTGCTATAGACTGGATGTTGGTGTGCCTTCAAAATTATGTTGAAGCCTCATCACCAGTGTGATGACATTTGGATGTGGGGCCTTTGGGAGGTGAATGGTGATGAGAGTAAAGCCCGTATGAATGAACGAATCCTGTTCCATGCATGAGATTTATGACCTTATAAAAGAGTTCCTAGAGAGCATCCTCATTTCTTCCACCATGTGAAGTTACAATGAAGACAGCTGTCTATGAACCAGGAAACAGATCCTCACCAGACACCAGATCTGTAGGCACCTTGATCTTGACTCCCCAGCTTCCACAACGGTGAGAATTTCTATTGTTTATAAGCCAGCCAGTTGATGGCATTTTAATATAGCAGCTTGAATAGAACAAGACAACAACCTAGCACAAAAGTTTTTAGGATGCTACTAAAGCACGACTTATGGAAGTTTAGTGCTCTAAATGCATATATTAGTAAAGAAGAAAGATGTGAAATCAATGATCAGACTCAAGGAGCTAATAGTATGATCATCTCAATAAATGCAGACAAAGGGTATGACGAAATTCAGTGTCCATCCATGATACAAATTATCAGCAAAATAGAAACGAAAGGGAACTTCTTCAGCCTGAGGAAGGCTATCTATATTTAAAACTCTCAGAGCTAACATCATACTTACAGGTGGAACATGGAACATTTTTTATCTAAGATCAGGAACAAGGCTATGACGTCTATTCTGACAGCATCTGTTGAACATTTTATTAGAAGTCCCAGATTGTTCAATAAGGCAGGGGGGAAGAAAGCAAAAAGGTATGAAAGGGAGCTGTAAAGGTGCATTTGCAGATGACATGATTGTACACCCAGAAAACGATAAAGTCTATTTAAAAACTACTAGAACTAGTAAGTAAATCTAATAAATTTGCACATACAGTCAATAGTAAAAGGCAATATATTTCTATATACCAGTGATAAAGAACGGAGAAAAAATAAAAGTAAAAAAATCCATTATAACGGCATCAAAAGCCATATTACATACTCAGAAATAAATCTAACTGAAGATGTGTAAGACCTCTATAATAAAAACTATAAAACATTGCTGGGAGAAATGAAAGAAGGCCTAAAAAAAGGAGAACTGGCCTGACCCATATGGTAGTTCTATCTGTGGTTTTCTGAGGAACCCCCATGCTGTTCTCCATCATAGCTGTACTAGTTCACATTCCCACCTACAGTATAAAAGAGTTCCTTTTTTTCTCCACATATCCTCACCCTCATTTGTTATTTTTTTTTTTTTCATATATTGGTTGCTCATTTATAAGAGAGAACACGGTATTTTAAAGATACTGGTTCATTTTTTTTTCAATTGACAGATATCGTACAGAATTTTATACATTGAATGCAATCTTAATCAAAATTCTAGCAGGCTTTTAAAATGAAACCTGCAAGCCAATTCTAAAATTTACAAAGAAAATTATTTAGAATAACCAAAATAATCTTAACAAAGAAAAACAGGCTGGATGCGGTGGCTCACGCCTGTAATCCCAGCACTTTGGGAGGCCTAGGCGGGTGGATCATGAGGTCAGGAGATTGAGACCATCCTGGCTAACATGGTGAAACCCCGTCTCTACTAAAAATACAAAAAATTAGCCAGGCGTGATGGTGGGCTCCTGTAGTCCCAGCTACTCGGGAGGCTGAGGCAGGAGAATGGCATGAACCCGGGAGGCGGAGCTTGCAGAGAGCCAAGAAAGGCACCCACTGCACTCCAGCCTGAGCAACAGAGCGAGACTCCATCTCAAACAAAACAAAACAAAACAAAACAGAACAAAACAAGTTGGAGGTATTATGTTACCAAAATTCACAATTTATTATAAATATATACTAATCAAGAGAGTCTGATATTAGAATAAGGACAAACACATCAATGGAACAAAACAGAGTCCAGATAGACTTGTGTGTGTGTGTGTGTGTGTGTGTACATGCACACACGCACGTGCTCAATTCTCAACAAAGGAAAGAAAATTCTTTTCAACATATGGTGCTGGAAAAACTGGATATATGTATGAGGAAGTAAAAAACCCCTCAACCCTTTTCTCTCCATACCAAAAAAAAAAAAAAATTGTGATGGTTCATAGACTTAACTGTAAAACCTAGAACTGTAAAGCTTCTAAAAGAAAAAAAAAAAAGAGAGAAAATTTTTATAGCCTGGAGTAGGTAGGCAAAAATTTCTTGGACAGGACATAAAAAGACTATCCACAAAAGAAAAGAGATTGGTCAATCTGATTTAGCAAATCCTCAAAGGAAGTGATTTCTAGATTTTGTGACATCCTGATGCTCTGGGCATAGTATTCTTCCTAAAATGTAATGGGAGGACTTGGACACATGGCTTCAGTCTTTGTCTCATCAGCATTGAACACAGTTCTGTTTATATATAGTAGCATATGTAAAAGTGGACATTTTTATGATCCACGCCTCATTCTCTATCAAGAGAAATTTTCTGTTCATCCAAAGATACTATTACAAAAATTAATAAATAAGCCACAGAATGGTAGAAAATATTTGTAGAACATATATCTGACATAGTATTTGTATCTAGAGTATATAAAGATCTCCTACATATTAACAATAAAGAAAAGCTAACTTTAAAATAGGCAAAAGATCTGAACAGATGTTTTACAGAAGAAGATATACAAATGGCCAATAAACACATGAAAAACAGCTCAAATATTGTTAAGTCATTAGGGAAATGCAAATTTCAACCAAAATAAGATACTGCTTCACACTCACTACAGTGTGCAAACTAAAGACTTACAATACTAATTGTTGGGGGAAAATATGGCACAAAGGGCGCTGTACAAGTATTTGTCAATTCTCATCAAGTTAACCATATATCTACCATCTTACCCAGAAACTTTACTCCTAGGTTTTTTGTTTTTTGTTTTTTGAGGTGGCATCTTGCTCTATTACCACCCTGGAGCTGGAGTGCAGTGGCACGATCTCCGCTCACTGCAACCTCCGCTTCCGAGTTCAAGCAATTCTCCAGCCTCGCCCTCCTGAGTAGCTGGGATTTACAGGCACGCGCCACTGCGCCTGTCTAATTTTTGAATTTTTAGTAGAGACGGGGTTTCACCATGTTGGCCAGGCTGGTCTTGAACTCCTAACCTCAGGTGATCCACCTGCCTCGGCTGGGATTACAGGCATGAGCCATCATGCCTGGCTCACTCCTAGGTATTTACCAAACGGAAATAAAAGCCTATTTCTCAAAAAAAAAAAAAAAAAAGCCTGTACAAAAATATACATAGCAACCTTATTCATGAGGGCCCCAAACTAGAAACAACCCAAATATCCATCATTAGGAGAACAGAAAAGCAAATTGGGGTATATCTGTTAATGGAATACTATTCGGCAATAGAAAGCATGAGCTACTCATGCATGCCACAACTGTCTAAATCTCAAAAAGTTTTGTTGGCTAAAAATAAGAAAACAATCATTATATGCTTTGTGATTCCATTTATAAGAAATACAAGGATAAACCTAGCCTACAAAATAGACATCAGAAAGTGGTTGCCTCTGGGGTGCTTGACTAGAAAGGGACATGAGGAAACTTTCTGGGAGGATGGAAATGTTCGAAAGGTCATACAAATTCACGCAAATGGGTACAGCTGTCAAAACACACAGAAGGGAGGAAGGGAAGTCAGGAGGGAGGGAAGCAGGGAGGGAGGGAGCTGGCAGGCGGGCAGGCAGGCAGGCAGGCAAGACAAAACAAATGCCTTAGAATAACAAAATTTCAGACCTGCAAGAGTCATGCAATCACCTTGTAGTTCCTTCCCCTTTTATAACATCCCTGGCAGTGGGATGGTTAATCTTTCACCAAACACTCCCAGAGACTGGTAACATGGAAACTCATGAGAAAATCAGTTCCATGGCTGAGTTAGAGGGTGACTTTGATAATTATAAAGTCCTTTATTCTGAGCTAAAATTCTGCCTGCTCTCAACTTCTACCTTAGGTATTTCTTTTTCTTTCTTTTTTCCTCTTCTTTTTTTGAGACAGAGTTTCACTCTTGTTGCCCAGGCTGGAGTGCAGTGGCGCGATCTCAGCTCACTGCAACCTCCACCTCCCGGGTTCAAACAAGTCTCCTGCCTCAGCCTCCCAAGTAGCTGAAATTACAGGCACCCCTTAAGTATTTCTAGACCAACACAATATCAGTGTTCTTTCCTTCATAATTTTCCTCATATATCTCCTTGGTCTTCTCCTCTAGGTTAAAGATACTTAGATCCAAACTTTAGCAAACGCTCAAAGGAAGTGATTTCGAGATCTTGTGACATCCTGATGCTCTGGGCATAGTATTCTTCCTAAAAACGTGATGGGAGGACTTGGACACATAGCTTCAGTCTTTGTCTCATCAGCATTGAACACAGCTGAGTTTATATATAGTAGCATATGTAAAAGTGGGCTTTTTTTTCTTTTTGAGAGGGAGTCTTGCGCTCTGTCACTCAGGCTGGAGTGCAGTGGCACGATCTCGGCTCACTGCAAGCTCCGCCTCCCGGGTTCACGCCATTCTCCTGCCTCAGCCTCCCGAGTAATGGGACTACAGGCGCCCGCCACCACACCCGGCTAATTTTTTGTATTTTTAGTAGACACGGGTTTCACCGTGTTAGCCAAGATGGTCTCGATCTCCTGACCTCATGATCCGCCCGCCTTGGCCTTCCAAAGTGCTGGGATTACAGGCGTGAGCCACCACGCCTGGCCAAAAAGTGGGCATTTTTATGATCTGTGCCTCATTCTCTATCAAGACAGTCCACAGTAACAATCATGCTTTGTACTTGGCCTTGTAGTTGACTCTGAGCTTGGTACACTGTTCTCACGCAACCGAATACAATCAGTATTGCGTGATGCATCAACGCCACAATACATAATACAAAATTCAGGGCTAATAGCCTCTGTTACTATAAGAAAATCAAGTGCAAAATATTCCTTGTCTGACAAGAAATACAGTATGTCGGATGTTATATGTTAACTGGGTTTCTAGATAGATTTCTTTGTAAGTTTATAAATATTCATAATATGACTTAGAGGTAAATCAATAAATCTGTAGCAGATTAGATCAATGAAAACCAGTAGTCAACACTTGTAGGGATTAATGTTTTAATCTAGACCGAAAACGAAGTTTTTCATTTTGGTTGGTAAACCTCTCCTCTTTATTAGTTGTTGTTTCTAAACAACTCTATTTTTTTTTTTTTTTTTTGAGACATTACTTCGCTCTTGTTGCCCAGGCTGGAGTGCAGTGGTGTGATCTCGGCTCACTGCAACCTCCGCCTCCCAGGTTCAAGTGATTCTCATGCCTCAGCCTCCTGAGTAGCTGGGATTACAGATGCCTGCCACCACACCAGCTAATTTTTTATATTTTTAGTAGAGACAGGGTTTCATAATGTTGGCCAGGCTGGTCTCGAACTCCTGACCTCAGGTGATCCACTCACCTCTGTCTCCCAAAGTGCTGGGATTACAGGCGTGAGCCACCATGCCCGGCCTAAACAACTCTACTTTTTAAGTTATAAAAATTATTCAATAGCAGTTTATAAATGCGAGGGGAAAAAGTAAACATTATCCAAATACCCCAGTATAACAACAGTGTAATTCCCCCATGTGTTCACTACAATTTGACATAAACATATACATTTTTTCGGGCGTGGTGGCTCACGCCTGTAATCCCAGCACTTTGGGAGGCCGAGGTGGGCGGATCACCTGAGGTCGGGAGTTCAAAACCAGCCTGACCAACATGGAGAAATGCCATCTGTACTAAAAATACAAAATCAGCCGGGTGTGGTGGTGCATGCCTGTAATCCCACCTACTTAGGAGGCTGAGGCAGGAGAATTGCTTGAACCCAGGAGGCGGGGGTTACAGTGAGCCAACACAGTGCCATTGCACTCCAGCCTGGGCAACAAGAGCAAAACTCTGTCTCAAAAAAAAGAAAAAAAAAAAAAAAAACCATACATTTTCATTTAATTGCAATATATAAGCCTCCCCCATCTAATGATATCATTTGTATTTTTTCATGTAGCTACAAAGTCTTCAGTTATAATTTCTCATGGTTACAAAATATTCATTCCATAAAATAACCATTCCTTAAATAATAGCCCATTGTTGGATACTTAGAATGTTTCTATATTTCTAAATAATGAGTCTATAAATTCTTTCCTCCATTATCATTGGTTCTTTTTAATCATTTCCTTAACAAAGTGTGATTATGACTGCCTCATAAACTTTGAAACAGATTGCCAAATTACTTTTTAATAGACTTATACTGCCACTGTTGGTTTGATGGGATTCATTCCACTTGTCAGTTATGACCTCAGAAGATTTCCTAGGCCAGAGAGCCTTGGGGAATTCCCACTCTGCAGACCAGGCACTACCAAGGTGGGAATTTCCCTAACCACAGTCTATTAAGAGCAAATTAAATACAGGTTTCAGAGTATAGGTTGTGAAACAACCAGCTGACTAGTTCAGATTCCTGACTGTAGAGCCTCCAAAGAGAAACTGATACCCTGCTTCCTGGTCAGTACTTGCATTTGGTTTCACGAAGGAGCTTATATTTCAATCACATGTTAATCTGAGATATCGAGTGACATTCCAGCACAGAATGGACAAAATGGAACAACGTAAAGTATACCACAAAATGACAGCATCACAAGGATTAAGAAATATTATATGATGTCAAAATACCCGACTCCAATAATACTTCATCATTTTTCTACTCTCAATTACAGCCTCAATACATTCTATATATAGGGAGAGAGTTTGCTATATATTTTCAGATACATTTGGTGCCTTTTTATACTCATAACGGACTCATAATGGCAGTAGTAAAGTCATTATGTTATTATGCTTTTTGCTTATGTTCTTAATAATATTTGAAGACAAATGTTAAAAAAAATCTATAGTGAAGATAGAGTTTTTCTTGAGGGTATTAGTTTAATTCCCTCCGTTCCCTATAATTGATATCATACTCAAATTTATCAATGGAAACCAAAAATGGGGGGTGGTGGTGACCTCTGATAATACCGTACACTAGGAAAAGATACATTCCAGAGAACAGGGACACAAGGAAAAACCAATCTGTGACTTCTTAAAGGAAAGGTAATGCTTTGCCTATGGCATCCTATGGCAGGGAGCTGCAAGGAACTCCCGCAGATCAAAGTGGAGCCTCTGGGAACCACCCAGGCTTTGGGGACACAGGGAAAGCTCCTTTGCCTGGCAGAAATTCCCCTTGGCCACACTCGCTCACACCTTATACACAGCCAGATGGGCCAGGTTAGGCAAAAAACACAGGCTCCTTTCCGACTTCCTCTTGACCATAAACCATGGTCTCTCATCTAGGCTTAAAAATGTGTAACAGGAGTCTGGACGCAGTGGCTCAGGCCTGTAATCCCAGCACTTTGGGAGGCTGAGGTGGGCGGATCACCTGAGATCAGGAGTTGAAGACCAGCCTGACCAATCTGATGAAACCCCGTCTCTACTAAATATACAAAAATTACCTGGGCGTGGTGGTGGTTGTCTGTAATCCCAGCTACTCAGGAGGCTGAGACAGAAGAATCACTTGAACCTGGGAGGCAGAGGTTGCAGTGAGCTGAGATCGCGCCATTGCACTACGGCCTGGACAGCAAGAGCGAAACTCCGTCTCAAAAAAAAAAAAAGTGTAACACAGGGTCGGTGCGGTGGCTCATGCCTGTAATCCCAGCACTTTGGGAGGCTGTGGCAGGTGGATCACGAGGTCAGGAGTTTGAGACCAGCCTGGCCAACGTAGTGAAACCCTGTCTCTACTAAAAATACAAAAAAAAAAAAAAAATTAGCCAGGCATGGTGGTGGGCACCTGTAGTCCCAGCTACTCGGGAGGCTGAGGCAGGAGAATCACTTGAACCCGGGAGGTGGAGGTTGCAGTGAGCCGAGATCGCGCCATTGCACTCCAGCCTGGGCGACAGAGCGAGACTCCGTCTCAAAAAAAAAAAAAAAAAAAGAAGGGGGAGATATTTTAAATTAAAAGACATTAAAGAGGCAAAACAGTTAAACGCAATCTGTAATCTGATTGCTGGAGCACCCCCTCAAAAAAAAGTGACAAAACTTTATTGGGGCAATGGCAGCAATTTAAATAGAAACTCCATATTAGTCATTATTACCATATCAAAGTTAAGTTTCTTGGATATGCTAATGACACTGCAGTTATATAGGAAAACAACCTACACAGAAGAATATTAGGAGATAGATTAGGAACAGATGCCAAAGTATATAGAAGCATTACGAGACACCCTCACCTTACTTCAAACCATTCACAGGCTGGGCTCGGTGGTTCACAACTTGTAATCTCAGCACTTTGGGTGGTAGAGGCTGGTGGATCACTTGAGGTCAGGAGTTCGAGACCAGCCCGGCCAACATGGTGAAACCCTGTCTACTAAAAACACAAAAATTAGCCAGACATGGTGGTGCATGCCTGTAGTCCCAGTTACTTGGGAGGCTGAGGCAGGAGAATTGCTTGAACCTGGGAAGTGGAGGTTGCAGTGAGCGGAGATCATGCCATTGCACTCCAGCCTGGACATCACAGCAAGACTCCATCTCAAAAGAATTTAAAAATATTAAATAATAATAATTCGCTCTGGGGGGAAAAGGTACATAAATACACACACACACTCATGCAGCAACAAAAAAGCAAAACAAATGTGGCTAAACGTTAACAACTGGTGAATCTAGTAAATGAAGGGTGACCAGATATGCCTGAAGAATATACTGTTAACTTTTCTGTAGCTTTAGAAAAACCTTTAAAATAAAAAGATGAGGGAAAAAAAAAAGCCACAGACTTAGATTGGGTTACAGAAAAAGAGAGAGAGAAAAAAAAAAAGGAAACCATATTGCTATATAGATGGGAAGCATATGGCAGAGTAGGGTAACTAAAGTCCTAGATTTCACACTGGAGAAATAAAAAGGGAGCCTCAGGAGCCAAAATGCACCAGGAAGATCACAGACTGGGAGGAGCTTAGAAAAGCAACCCCTTAAAGTTGTTCATGAAGTCCTGGATTCTCCTTTGAGAAGTGCATACACGGAGCTGACCCCAAATAGTATACGTAGACATTGAGAGCTGAACTACAGGAGAGAAAACCACCCAACTCCCAGTCTGGTCACTGGCTACTGCACCTGTGGGACAGACCCAAACAGTACTGGAAAGACTTTGAAAACTTCTTCAATGGTAGTTGGAACCTGTGGCCTCAACTCAACCAGGGCAATTGCCTGCTAAAATAAAAAATATCAACATCTCTGTAGGATTTAAACCAACAGCCAGAGTCTCATAAAATAATAATCAAAATGTCCAGGATACAACGCAAAATTTTGCAGCATATGAACATCCGGAAAATTTCAAGTTGCATAAGAAACCTGGGAAAAGACAACAAGATGCCATTGCTAAGAAGCATAGTTGTTGGAGTTATCTGACAAAGACTTTAAAGCAGCTATAATAAAAATGCTGGGCCAGGCATTTTTGGGAGCTGAATCGTGATGATTGTTTGAGCCCAGGAGTTCAAGATCAGTCTGGACAACATAGTGAGAACCTGTCTCTACAAAAAATAAAAAATTAGCTGGGCATAGTGGCATGCATCTGTAGTTTCAGCTTCTCAGCAGGCTAAGAAAGGAGAATCACTTGAGCCCAGGAGGTTGAGGCTGCAGTGAGCTGTGACTGCACCACTACACTTCAGCCTGGATGACAGAGTGAGACCCTGTTTCAAAAATACAAAGTAAATAAAAATAAAAATGCTCCAAGAAGTAATGGTGAACACTCTTGAAATATAGTCTCAGCAAAGAAACAAAAAATATAGAGAAGAACCAAATGCAACTTTTGAAACTGAAAAACACAATAACCAAATTTGAAAACTCACTGGATGGGATCAATAGCAGAATGGACATGATACAGGAAAGAGGTGGTGAACTGGAAGATAGTTCCAATAAAAATGAATAGAGCCTCAAGGACCTATGGGATAATGGGAAAAAGTCAAACATTCATGCCACTGGAGTCTCAGAAGAGAGAAAAAAGAGTGTGGGCCAGAAAAAATACGTGAACAAATAATGGTTGAAAGTTTTCTAAATTTGGCAAAGAACATACACCTACATATTTGAGAAGCTCAGCAAACCCCAAACAAGATAAACACAAAGAAGTCCAGGCCACAACACATCATATCCAAATTGCTGAACACTAAAGACAAAGAAAAAAATAATTGAACACAACCAAAGAAAAACAACACATTGCTTTATAGGGGAACAAAAATTTCAAAGACTGGATTTCTCATCAAAAATCAGAGGCCAGAAGGAAGTATAGCACCAGTTTTAAAGTGCTGAAAGAAAAGAGCTATCAACACAAAATTCTATAACCAGCAAAACTATCCTTCAGCACCGAGGTGAAATAAAGATACTCTAGACGAAGAAGTACTAAGAAAATATGTTGTCAACAGATCTACTCTAAGAGAACAGCTAAAGGAAGTTCTTCAGACAGAAGAAAAACGATACCAGTAGGAAACCTGAAACGAAGGATGAACAGCAGAAATGGTAAACATTTGGATAAATATTCTCCAGCTGACTTCTCTGTTTGGTGGATGAAAACCAAACTCATACTGTCTGATCTTCAATGCACGTAAGTATAATACATAAGACAATTATATACCATAGAGCAGGGTAGGCAAATGGGCCTATAGGGTGTAAGGTTGATACACTCCATGTGAAAAGATTAGATACTGATTCTAAGTAGACTGTAAATTTTTAAGTATGTATATTGTCATCCCTAGTTACCACTAAAACAATCTATACAAAAAGCTACAGTAAATAACAAAATAGAAAAATAAAAAAGCGGTACTAAGAAGTTCATATATATGATACAATTTATATGACATTATCCCAAAGACAAAAGTTTAGTGACAGAGGACAGGTCAGTCAGTGGTTGTCAGGAGTTAGGAATGGGTGAGAGTATGGTCGGTTTACAAAAGAAACACAAGGAAGTTTCTGGAGCAATGGAATGGTTCTGGGTCCCATTTGTGTAGTGGCTAAACAAACCTACACATGTGTAAAAATTCACAGAACAACAAACACAGTCAATTTTGTTTTGTGTTAATTTAAGAATTAAAATTTAAAAATATACAAGAGAGATACAGGTAAAGGTAGAATCTAAGAGAACACAGTATGTAAAGAACAAGAGGAGGAAAAACAATAGAAGCAAAGCAAGTGGCAAAAACAAAAACAAAAACAAAACAAAGAAAAAACCCACACTGTTGTCACAGAGGGCAGCGCCGCAAGGAAGGGAGTGTGGAATTTGCCATGTCTACTGGATGGGCTACTGGGCAGTCAGTGTCAACCATGCTAAGCGCGGCTTTGGATGTGGGAGGGATGGGGAGAGAGAGCAAAGTGTCTGAATTGCAGGAATGTATACATGTCAAAGTGTGGGAATGGGAAAACAGCCAAGTCTGGACTAGTGTATTACCAAAAGCTCATATTATTTATTTATTTATTTAAATTCATTTTTTTTTTTGAGACTAAGTCTCACTCTATTGCCCAGGCTGGAGTGCAGTGACACCATCTTGGCTCACTGCAACCTCTGCCTCCCGGGTTCAAGTGATTCTCCCGAGTAGCTGGGATTACAGGCGCCCGCCACCATGCCCAGCTAACTTTTGACAGTTTAGTAGAGATGGGGTTTCACTATGTTGGCCATACTCGTCTTGAACTCCTGACCTCAAGTGATCAGCCTGCCTCAGCCTCCCAAAGTGCTGGGATTACAGGCGTGAGCCACCGCGCCTGGCCGAAAAGCTCATATTATTTAAAACCATAACAACAACTGCCAATATTTAGTAAAAATTGCCAGATGCTAAGCCATTGTTTCTCAATCTAGAGGCACAAACAGTTATAAAGTTTAAAAAAGTTTGGCCAGGCACAGTGGCTCATGCCTGTAATCCCAGCACTTTGGGAGGCCGAGGCAGGTGAATCACGAGGTCAGGAGTTTGAGACCAGCCTGGCCTGGCCTGGCCGACATGATGAAACCCCATCTCTACTAAAAATACAAAAAAATAGCTGGGCGTAGTGGCGGGCGCCGTAATCCCAACTACTCGGCAGGCTGAGGTAGGAGAATCACTTGAACCCGGGAGGCAGAGGTTGCAGTGAGCAGAGATTGCGCCACTGCACTCCAGCCCAGGTGAAAGAGCAAGACCCCGTCTCAAAAAAAAAAAAAGTTTAAACAAATTCTTCCACACCCCTCAGTATTGATGTTACTGTATTTATTTAATTAAATATAAATGTAAGTATATATTCATTATGTTTATAGCTCTTTATAGTGCTAAAACAAATATTCATATAAAAATGAAAACTACAAAACCCAAATTCTATTTAACCACAATAATTTAATGTTGAAGACAATGCGTGTTTTGGGAATCCTAAATTGTGCTTAAAACATGAATATGGCAGCTGGACGCAGTGGCTCATGCCTCTAATCCCAGCACTTTGGGAAGCTGAGGCGGGCACATCAATCACTTGAGGTAAGGAGTTCCAGACCAGACTGGCCACCATGGTAAAAATAAAAAAAATCAGCCAGGCACCTGTAATCCCATCTACTTGGGAGCCTGAGGCAAGAGAATCGCTTGAACCTGGGAGGCAGAGGTTGCAGTGAGCCCAGATCGCACCACTGCACTCCAGCCTGGGAGACGGAGCAAGACTGTCTCAAACAAAACAAAACAAAACAAAAAAATGCACAAATATGGTACAGGCTAAGGTATAGGTCCTTTGGGTTTGTCCTGCTGTTCTTTATGTCAACTGTGAAGGCATCCTTTATACGGTGCCTAGTGACAGGCTTTGGCCTTCTCTTGGAAGCAAATACTTCATTACATATTAAGTATACCTTCTTTTCTCAACAGCCAAAAATGACTAAGATCCAAGACAATTATACCCAGAAGTTCAAATGTGGGCTGGAATTGTATAGCCAGACACAATTAGTCCTCCCAGATGACCCAGAATATTCTTTTAATTTTAAAATATTATCATCAGCATAAAAACAAAACATGTAGAACAGCTCTAATTTGAGGACACAGTGCAAAAAGCCTTACATTACTTAGGCGTTAAACAACCCTACAATAGCTGCAATAAATAAAGACCTCATCAGTTTTCCTAGCCCCTCAATGAAAAGTTTACTTTAAAAAAATGTAAGCCACATCAAAACCTTTGCTTACTAAGGTAACAACAATAAGAAAAGAAAGAAAAGAAAAGTAACATTTTCCATTATTTTAGAAGACTGGAATCCTGATGATAATGTGCTCAGCTCTGAATGAAATAATTTACAGATTATCAACATGTGTTTCTTAGCAACCTGTGTGCATAAAAAGGTACAATATATTGTATGATTCCAATTATATGACATTCTGGAAAGGCAAAACTATAGAAAGGGTAAAATAATCAGTGGTTGCCAGGAGTTTGGGAGAAAGGGGGGAGTGATAAATAGGAGGAAGCATAGGAATTTGGGGGGGCGGGGTGGCAGTAAAAATACTCTATATGGGCCGGGCGCAGTGGCTCACGCCTGTAATCCCGCACTTTGGGAGGCTGAGGTGGGCGGGTCATCTGAGGTCAGCTGAGGTGGGCGGGTCATCTGAGGTCAGGAGTTCAAGACCAGCCTGGCCAACATGGTGAGACCCCGTCTCTATTAAAAATACAAAATTAGCCGGGCATGGTGGCGAGTGCCTGTAATCCCAGCTACTCGGGAGGCTGAGGCAGGAGATTCGCTTGAACCCAGGAGGCGGAGGTTGCAGTGAGTCGAGATCGAGCCATTGCACTCCATCCAGCCTGGGCAACAAGAGTGAAACACCATCTGAAAAAAAAAAAAAACAACTCTATATGATACTGTAAAGATAGACAGGTGACATTATGCATGTATCAAAATCCGAACTGTACAGCACAAGGAGTGAACCTTAATGAATGTACATTAAAAAAACAATCATTTAGAAGACTGGAGATTCCAGCAATAAATGCAGACTGTGATAAGGGCATCAAACTGCATTACAAATGTATGCAACAACATCACTGAATGAGGTAGGAAGAGAAGGTGCTGACCTAAGTAGCTTTGGAAATGAGTGGCATCTATAAGACTAAAAGCGAAGGGACTTGCACATAAGCCCTGAATTCTAGTTGGTAAAGTTGTTTCCCACAGGGGTACAGGTTAACAATTCTGACACCGCTATACATGTACATTGGCACTAAACAATTAAGGACATGGGCTGGGCGCGGTGGCCCACGCCTGTAATCCCAGCACTTTGGGAGGCCGAGGCAGGCAGATCACGACGTCAGGAGTTCGAGACCAGCCTGGCCAACATGGTGAAAACCCGTCTCTACTAAAAATACAAAAATTAGCTGGGCGTGGTGGCGGGTGCCTGTAATCTCAGCTACTCAGGAGGCTGAGGCAGGAGAATTGCTTGAACCCGGGAGGGAGAGGTTGCAGTAAGCCGAGATCGTGCCACTGCACTCCAGCCTGGGTGACAAGAGCAAGACTCCGTGTTGAAAAATAACAACAACAACAAAACCAATTAAGGACATGAATAGCAGATAGTGGGAGCCAAACTCTCACTGTTGGAATGATAGTCTACAGATAAGCAAGAGGATGAGGCTACAACAATCCATGTGGTGATGGATTTGAGAACAAACCCACATTGTATGTCAGAGGAGTACAGAAGCCAACTGGAAGAGTTCTCGATAACCAAAGGTGGAAGATTCTGAACAACAAAATTGTTTTGAATTATAACCCAAAGTATAAAATAAATATCCATGAGTCCATATTGATAAAAATACATGATTGAGGCCGGGCACGGTAGCTCACACCTGTAATTCCAGCACCTTGGGAGGTCAAGAGGGGTGATCACTTGAGGTCAGTTCAAGACCAGCCTGGTCAACATGGTGAAACCCCGTTTCTACTAAAGGTACAAAAAGTACAAAGAAAAAAAATTAGCCAGGCTTGGTGGCAGTTGCCTGTAATATCAGGTACTCAGGAAGCTGAGGCAGGAGAATCGCTTGAACCCGGGAGGCAGAGGTTGCCGTGAGCCGAGATCACGCCATTGCACTCCAGCCTGGGGGACAGAGTGAGATTCTGTCTCCAAAAAAAAAAAAGAAAGAAAGAACAAACAAAATAACATGATTGAATAATACGTGAAGGCGAAGAGACAAATCTCCAGCTAGTTTATGTAAATACTCCACTGTCAAGGAAGAAAGAGTGTAACTCTCTCTTTCTTAGGTGTAGGCTGCATGTAGTGACTCCTTTCAAAGAACAGTGTGGAAATGGGGAAGGAGTAACTTCGAGGTGGAGAAGCCTAACGAACACCACCTTAGCCAGGTGATCGAGGTCAACATTAGTTACAAATCACATTCACAGTATGTGACATATCTTGATATGATATGATGAAAATACACTTTATCTGTGATCTTCCACCCAACAACTCATAACCCCAGTGTTATCATAAGAAAAACATCAGGCAAATTCTAGCTGTGTAGTATCCTACGAAATACCTGAGCATTACCCCCACAAAACTGTCAACATCAAAAACAAGGGAAGTCTGAGACACCGCCACAGCTCAGAGGAAACTAAGGAGATGGAGCAACTAAATATAATGCCGTATCCTAGAACAGGAAAAGGACATTGGGTCAAAATTAAGAAAATATTAATAAACTTACTTTAATGATAATATATCAATATCGGCCCATTAATTGCACAAATATATCATGCTAATGTAAGACATTAACTACAGGGGAAAATGGATGTGGAGTATACAGGAACCCTCTGTACTATCTATTCAATTTCTCTGTAAATCTAAAACTGTTCTAAAAAATAAAGTCATACTATCTGATTTCAAGACTTCCTATAAAACTACAGTCATCTGGCTGGGTGCAGTGCTCACTTAAGGAACCTCCAGTAATTTGGGAGGCCGAGGCTGGTGGATCACTTAGGGTCAGGAGTTTGAGACCAGCCTGGCCTACATTGTGAAATCCTGTCTCTACTAAAAGTACAAATATTAGTTGGTCATGCTGGTGTGCACCTGTAATCCCAGCTACTCGGGAGGTGGAGGCATGAGAATCGCTTGAACCTGGGAAGTGGAGGTTGCAGTGAGCCAAGATGGTACCCCTGCACTCCAGCCTGGGTGACAGAGTGAGACTCCAGCTCAAAAAAAAAAAAAAAAAGCTACAGTAATCAAGACAGTACAGTATTCACATACGGACAGAGAAAATGATAAATGGAACAGGAAAGGGTGCAGCAATAGATTCAGGCATGTCGCCAACTGATTTTTCCACTATATATATATCCACATGAACCTCAGGTTCCAAAAAATCTCAGCAGGCCCATTTCTTCCATTCTCACAGCATCCCTATTTACATGGAAGAGTGAGAACATACTAAGGGATCATAACAATTCCCGAGTGGCTCCTATGAGCAAGGTACTGTTTCCATTCATCCTTAGGCTGGCATGTGAGGCAAGTGTTACTAAAGGTGAAGCTCAACAAGGTTAAGTGGTTTGCGCAAAGTGACAGAGCTGAGGAGTGGCAAAGCTGGGTCTGTAGTGCAACCTGTCTGATTCTGGCAGCTTTCTCACAACATTCAGAAAGAAATGTCGAAGAAAGAAAAAGTGGGCGTCAGCTCAAACATCCCAAGCCTGCCCTGTTTGTCCTGTTTTGTTTTGCTTTGTTCGAAAGATGAGATCCGGCCGGGTGCGGTGGCTCACACCTGTAGTCCCAGTACTTTGGGAGGCCGAGGCAGGCAGATCACCTGAGGTCAAGAGTTCGAGACCAGCCTGACTAACATGGCAAAACCCCATCTCTACTAAAAATACAAAAATTAGCTGGGTGTGGCGGTGCGTGCCTGTAATCCCAGCTACTCGGGAGGCTGAGGCAGGAGAATCACTTGAACCCGGGAGGCAGAGGTTGCAGTGAGCCAAGATCACGCCATTGCACTCCAGTCTGGGCAACAGGGAGAGACTCTGTCTCAAAAAAAAAAAAAAAAGAAAGAAAGAAAGAAAGATGAGATCATTCAAGTTTACTCCATAAGTGTCTTCCAAAATATTAAGTAAATATTTAATGAATAGTTACTAAAATGAACATGGTAGCTTATTAGGCCAAATTTATGATCCAGTTGAGTGTGCCTGTATGTTATATATACATTTTATAATAACTTGGGGGCTTCTGCATAGGCAGTGGAATTATTTATTTATTTAATTTGTTGTTATTATTTTTTTTTTTTTTGAGACGGAGTCTCACTCTGTCGCCCAGGCTGGAGTGCAGTGGCGCGATCTTGGCTAACTGCAAGCTCCGCCTCCCGGGTTCATGCCATTCTCCTGCCTCAGCCTGCCGAGTAGCTGAGACTACAGGCGCCCGCCACCACGCTCAGCTAATTTTTTGTATTTTTAATAGAGACGGGATTCACCGTGTTAGCCAGGATGGTCTCGATCTCCTGACCTTGTGATCCGCCTGCCTCAGCCTCCAAAGTGCTGGGGTTACAGGTGTGAGCCACCGCACCAGGCTTATTTATTTATTTTTTTTTTTTTGAGATGGAGTCTCGCGCTGTCACGCAGGCTGGAGTGCAATGGTGCAATCTCGGCTCACTGCAACCTCCACCTCCCAGGTTCAAGCGATTCTCCTGCCTCAGCCTCCCGAGTAGCTGGTATTACAGGCACACACCACCACGCCTGGCTAATTTTTGTATTTTTAGTAGAGACAGGGTTTCACCATGTTGGTCAGGCTGGTCTCAAACTTCCAACTTCAGGTGATCCGCCTGCCTTGGCCTCCCAAAGTGCTGGGATTACAGGCGTGAGCCACCCGCGCCCGGCCGAGTCAGTGGAATTATTTAAATGCTATTAAAGTAAAACTATGTTATTTCAATTGTTATAAAAATGTACAGTGGTTACTTTTGCTCTGTTGTATCTTGTTGGTTACAATCATGGATTATCTAACTTCAAGTCTTGGATCAGAATACAACCTCCAACTGTGAGCCAAGGTCATTTGCTAACGTTTCCCCCCTCACAATTATAGAAAATGCTGTACAGTTTTTATATCTCTATTTTATCATTCCAGCTTCTAGAGAATCTCTCATGAAATATCTAGACCCGAACTAGTAGAACTCTGCTCTCTTTGAAAAATAGCCTACATTTCAAATCCAGATCTTAGGATATGTCAGCCTGAGAAACTTCCTTTCCTTCTGGACTCAGAAATGCTAACAGGATCACAGCCTTACATTGCCATATCTGCCCCTGCTATTGAATATTTAGAGCAAATTCTAATTTCAAATTCTTATAGTTAGAACAAAGTATTTAAATCTAAAAATAATTAGAGATTGAGAAAGTCTAGAATGCTATTTCTGGGTTCTTCCTCTTGTATCTCAACAAAACAGACTAGCTTTTTATGAAATTCATAAACTTATGTTATTTCTAAGTTAGGTCTTATACTCTGTTTTCAGTCGATTTCATATAAATGAATAGTTTTAAAAGTAGTTATGATGATGGTAATACAATTTTGAAGCACTCTAACCATTTTACAAATTGTTTATTGTCTCATCTGATACTCCTGTCAATCCGGAAAAATATACAGGGAGCTGTTAGAATATTTTATAGATGTCAAAACAGGCCCACATGGATTACGTAACTTGTCCAAGTTACCTCACTAATAAGTGCTAGGGCAGGAGAAGACGGGTCTCTGGATTTCAGTCTGAATGCTTTACTCAGAAGCTCATGCCTCTCCTGTCTCAAATTTCAGGTCTAACTCCAGACTAAATATAGTCTGCATTCTTCTCATTCCATAGGAACATCACCTTGGTTTCTCCATATTTCTCTTTCTTATAGGAGATCTCTGACGAAGCCCAGATAGTTGGGTAAGACTGAGATGCTGACAGATTGAGTTCCATGACATCTGTCAGTTAGAAAGCCAAAGTTAACCATGTACTCTTGTTTTAAAAAAACAAGTAACTTGAAGAGGTTTTCTCTACTTTACAAGAGAGCATTCCTCCTTTGTGGAAAAGTTATCTACCATTTTCCACCTAGTCTTCACACTTCAGACATATTTTTTTAGGTGCGTTTCACCCTTCTAAAGGGGGGATGTGAAGGGAAGAGCTCTGTACCAGCAATTTCCAGAGGCAGGGATTTACAGGCAGGTCTCTTAGAGCCACAGTTGGCCCATGTATCTTTGATTTTCTGATTATATGTACGTTTTCAATAGCCCTTGTATTTTGTTTATTTATTTATTTATTTATTTATTATTATTTGTTTTTAGACAGCGTTTTGCTCTTGTTCCCCAGGCTGGAGTGCAATGGCACGATCTCGGCTCACTGCAACCTCCGCCTCCTGAGTTCAAGCGATTCTCCTGCCTCAGCCTCCTGAGTAGCTGGAATTACAGGCATGCACCACCATGTCTGGCAAATTTTTTGTATTTTTAGTAGAGACGGGGTTTCTCCATGTTGGTCAGGCTGATCTCGAACTCCTGATCTCAGGTGATCTGCCCGCCTCGGCCTCCCAAAGTGCTGGGATTACAGGCGTGAGTCACCGCACCCAGCCTTTTTAATATATTTTTAAATCATTTACTAATATATCTCATTTTATTCCAACACTGCTGCTTGCATTTCTTTCCAAGCATAGAGAAGAAATCCAAATACAAAGTACTACACATAATACAGTGCAACAAAAATGAGGTAGGGGCGTCCCACTCATTAAACAATTGCTGACTTGAAAATGTCCCAATTTTATAAAATGTATCAAGAGACCGACACTTTGCATTGTATTTTATTCCTCTATGTCAGTTAACAATTAATTACCTCTCAGCTCCAAATTCACCCTTCAATACCTACTCTGCACTAACTGGCTGAACTCTAAGAATTCCTCCTTTGCAGTGAGCATGATGCTAAACTTAACTTTCGCAGCAGAGGGCGATAGAGGGAAAATGCAAGAGGAAAGGGTTGCTCCAGAATCCTGGGTGCTTGTGTGTTTTTCTTCTTCCTGCTAATGCCAGGCTGTATCAGTGACTATGGATACGGAGAATATCCAAGGGTGCTCCATCCCAACTGTGAGCTCATAGCAGACAACGAGCAGAGCTTCACGAATTCATAGCTTCGGTCTGGTGACTGCCTCGCCACAGCCCTCCTGACATGAACATCACAAACCCATCATATAGAGGACTGACATCCAAAAGAGACAAAGGGCATTGTAGGGATAAGGGGATTTGGTGGTACAGGGACACTCCATAAGAGTCTGTCCAGACTGGACCAAGGAGATAAAGGAATCAGGGGAGGGAGGAGTCTCCAATCAAAAGACGAAACTGACAGGCTACCTACAAACACCATATCAATCTAGAGAGGAATTTCACAATTCTATCACAGGTATGGGGGACTGGTGGTGAAAGTATCGATAAAGACAACTATGCAAAGTTTTAAACAGAAGCAATTACTTTAGAGAAAAGGGCATAAAGAAATAAAATCTAATTGCAGTACACACCATGGCTCAGTTGTGAATGACATTTACATAATCATAGAACAATAAACACTGATTCAACACTGAAAACACTGACATGTGTGTGCGATGGCATAAGTAGGAAATGTGTGTGTGTGTAGACTTACTTCAAGTTAGATTAACATCTTCCTTAGGAGGAAGTCAACAGATGTCGAAGACTGAAAACATTTAAGAAATAGCAGCATATTATTTAGAAATAGACATTCAACTACATTTGACCCTTAAACAACTTGGAGGTTATGGTGCCGACACCCAGCAAAGTTGAACATCACTTTTTTTTTTTTATTTTTTCCCCTGAGATGGAGTCTCGCTCTGTCGCCCAGGCTGGAGTCCAGTGGCACGATCTCGGCTCACTGCAACCTCTGCCTCCCGGGTTCAAGCAATTCTCCTGCCTCAGCCTCCCGACTAGCTGGGAGTACAGGAGTCTGCAACCACGCCTGGCTAATTCTTTGTATTTTTAGTAGAGACGGGGTTTCACCATGTTGGCCAGGCTGGTCTCGAACTCCTGACCTCATGATCTGCCCGCCTCGGCCTCCCAAAGTGCTGGGATTACGGGAGTGAGCCACCACATCCGGCCCACATACAACTCTTTTGACTCCCCCAAAACTTAACTAACCGTCTACTGTTAACTGAAAGCCTTACTGATAACATAAACAGTCAATTAACATATTTTGTATATGTTATATGTATTATACATTATATTCTTACAATAAAGTAAGCTAGAGAAAAGGAAATATTCAGAAAATCATAAGGAAGAGAAAATATATTACCAATTTATTAAGTGGATCATAATAAAAGTCTTCATCCTCGTTATCTTCACATTGAGTAGGCTGAGGAGGAGGAAGAAAAGGGGTTGGTCTTGCTGTCTCAGGTGGCAGAGGTGGAGGAAGTGAAGAAGGTAGAAGGGGAGGCAGGAAAGGGAGGCACACTTGGTGTAATTTTATGGAAATACACTGTAATTTGCCTGACTTCTTTGCTTTTTCATTTCTCTAAAAATGTTTCTATATGATACCAATCCTTCTTCCACTGTTTGCTTTAGTTTCAGTGCACATTATCACAGAAGGGTCCATGTCATAAAAGAAGTCAAAAGTAGTCTTTTTTTTTTTGGATGGAGTCTCGCTCTGTCACCACGCTGGAGTGCAGTGGCGTGATCTCAGCTCACTGCAACCTCTGACTCCCAGGTTCAAGTGATTCTCCTGCCTCAGCCTCCCGAGTGGCTGGGATTACAGGCACACACCACCACACCCAGCTAATTTTTGTATTTTCAGCAGAGATGGGGTTTCACCATGTTGGCCAGGATGGTTTCGATCTCCTGACCTCGTGATCTGCCTGCCTTGGCCTCCCAAAGTGCTGGGATTACAGGCGTGAGCCACTGCGCCTGGCCTGTCAAAAGCCATCTTGAATCCCTGGAACCCTTCTGCCAGATCGTTTAGCCAGTTTGTTTTCTGGCACTGCTGCTTTTATGTCTTCTTCCTCGTTGTCTGGCACTGGTTTGGAAGCAGACATCTCCATCAGGTCAACTTATGTTAATTCCTCTGGTGTGGTGTCTGTTAGCTCTTGATTTTCTCCAAGATCCCTATCTTGAAACCCTTCAACCTCCACCCACATCCCCAATTTTTTTTTTTGGCCTCTCCACAGTCTCTCTCATGATTTTTTTGTTTGGCTCTGTTGTAAATCTTGTGAAGTCATGTACTACATCTGGACACAGTTTTCTCCAGCAGGAAATTATTGTTTTGGGCTTGATGGCTTCCATAGCTTTTTCTGTCATAACAATAGCATCTTCAATGGTGTCATTATTCTAGACTTTCAAGATGTTCTATCGGGGTTCTCTTCCATAGCATTGGCAATCCTTTCTGTAGAGTACCACGTGTAATGAGACTTAAAGGTCCTTGTGACCCCCTGATCTAGAGTCTGAATTAGAGACCTTGGGTTTGGAAGCAAGTAGAACACATTGATGCCTTCAGTGTTGAACCTTTGGGGTTCTGAATGGCCATGGGCATTGTCCAGTATCAAAAGAACTTTAAAAGGCAGTCCCCTACTGGTAAGGTACTCCCTGACTTCAGGGACAAAGCATCAATGAAATCGATCTGGAAAAGGGGCTCTTGTTTTCTAGGCCTTCTTGTACAACGAAAAGATGAGCAACTTTTTGCTTCAAGGCTTGGAGGTTAGCAGCTTTAGATATAAGGGCAGTCCTGATCATAAGCCCAAATGCATTTGCACAAAACTGTAGAGTTAGCTTAACCCTTCCTGCCTTAAATTCTGATGCTTGATTCTTTTCCTTACTAGTAAATGTCATGTTTGGCTTTTCCCCCCACCAGAATTGGTCACTCACTTGCAATGAAAATCTGTCAGGCAGATATACTTTCTCCTTGATAATTTTCTTAATGACATCTTGGAACTTGTCTGCTGCCTCTTGGTTGATGGAAGTTGCTTCACCTACTATCTTGACATGATTCAAACAAAACCTCTTTCTGAAATTATCAAACCATCCGTTACTGGCATTAAATTCTCCAGCTTTAGATCAGATCCTTCACTTTCCTTTTGCTTTAAGTTGTCATAGAATGACACTGCTTTTTCTCAGATCACATTAGCGTGTATAGATATGCCTTTCTTATAGCAATCCTGCACTACAGAATAGCTGCATTTTCAATATGAGATTAAAAGGTATAAGTGCAAGGATTTTGCACCTGCTGGCATAGCTGCAGTGACGGCTTCATGTATTTCCTTTTCTTATAATTATCCTTATGATGGATTTATTTATCTTGAAATTGTGGGCAATTGTAGCTGCAGACCTTAGTCTGCAGTACATGGCAAGCAATTCAACTTTTCCTTGTAATGTCATAACTTTACTTCTTGGGAGCATTTCCAGGGTGAATCACTAGTATCACATTGTATGGGTCCCATGGTGTTGTTCAGTGTTTATATTATTGCACTAAACACAAAAAATAAGAGAGAAGTTCAAGGGGCCACTTTTTTTGTACTGTGGTATACAATTTACTGGAGCGATAACTGCTCAGGCAGAGATGATTAACATCATAGAGCAGCATTTTAAGTGGATACTCACAGCATCTGAGCTTGCCTCAATAGCAACAGGAGGTGACTATGAAATTACTACATTATCACAGTATGCTCTACAGTTCATTTTGTGCAGCATGATTTAATACTGCATCTTTCCATTTGTTTACATTTCTGTCCACTGTGAAGGATGCCATACATGATCTGTGTTTGTGTGCATCTGTTTTGATAAATTTTAACTTTGCAAGTAGATCTGTGTATATTTTATAGTAGCAAATGATAAAATAGATGAGCATCTGCATATATTTTTAGCATTTTTACGTAGCTAACTTTTTCTTAAAAATTTTCAGTGTTTCTAGACTATACAATTCATCTGAGAGTTTTTTCAAATTGTCACAAATCTCCAAAAAATTTTTCCAATATGTTTATTGAAAAAGATCCATGTATAAGTGGAGCTGCATAGCTCCCGGGTCAAGTGTATATTGGACTATAGACACTTTACCATAAACCACTAAAAGAATCATAAGCACTGGTTCTGAGGGGTAAGACTTGGAGGCAAGGAGGGCTGATGAAGAGAGCTGCTTCTCCTAAGCTGCCTAATTCTGATTGTTCATACTATTCAGAGGTATTATTCTGATAAAAGTGAAAATTAAATTTTAAAAAATTAAGTCCAAAGAAGAATGTTAACTGAATAATAAACAGGTCAATATGAAAGAAATCACGAAGGCCTCAGAAGCACTGCTTCGGCAATGAAGAAGCACTGGAAAGTTTTTGCAAGCAAATGCCATGATCAGAACTATATTTTTAATATATGTGACTTTTAAAATAGAGACGGGGTCTTGCTATGTTGCCCAAGCTGGTGTCGAACTCCTAATCTCAAGTGATCCCCCCTGCCTTGGCCTCCCAAAGTGCTGGGATTAAAGGCATGAGCCACCCCACCTGGCCCCAGCACCGTATTTTACAAAGAATAGGAGGGAGATAGAAAAAACAAACCATAGACAAAAAGAAGGAGAGCTTGAATTAAAAACAACAACAAAAACCACAACCAAACAATAGAAATGTGTTGACAAAAGGAGTCAAACTCTGTAAAATATTTGAAGGGATTTATTCTGAGCCAAATATGAGTGACCATGGCCGTGTCACAGCCCTCAGGAGATCCTGGGAACATGTGCCCAAGGTGGTTGGGGTGCAGCTTGGTTTTATACATTTTAGAGAGGCATAAAACATCAATCAAACACATTTAAGAAATACATTGGTTTGGTCCAGAAAGGCGGGACAACTCAAAGCAGGGGGTGGGGTTGGAGGGGGCGGGACAGCTTCCAGGCTATGGGTGAATTTAAACTTTTTCTGGTTGACAATTGGTTGAGTTTGTCTAAAGACCTGGGATTGATAGACAGCAAATATTCAGGTTAAGATAAAGACTGTGGAGACCAAAGTTCTTCTGAAGTCTTACAGTAGCTGCCCTTAGAGACAAGAGATGACAAATGTTTCCTATTCAGATCTTAGTTAATCTCTTTAGGATTGGGAGGGTCTGGAAAAAGAAGGTCTAGCTATGTTAATGGAGATTTTTACAGATGCAAATGTTCCCCCCACAAGGAACAGCTTTGCAGGGCCATTTCAAAATATGGCAAAGAAACATGTTTTGGGGTAAAATATTTTGATTTTCTTCCTTGTCTTGTAATGTTACGCCAGAGGCAGGTTGGAAAGTTAAGTCACGATATATATAAAAATAAAACCCGTCTGATGAGAATTTATGATTTATGGGGCATGACTCCCCAGACCCCTTATATAGGAATTTGGGCAAGATAAAAAAATCAGAGTTTAGTTCTCAAATGTCTGGCGAACACCATACTGAATGGAGGAAACAGCGCTTTGGACTCCATTTGTGGCGGGAAGATCAGAAGGGTGTAAGCGTTGGTCACTATAAGGATGTCTCAATCTTTATCCATCTAGTAATTCTCCAACTATAAATTAGTTATCCCCAGGAAAGGGATAGCCAGTGAGGGAGTCATGAACATCATAGTCTTTCTTGTAGAATACCATCTCATATATGGATAAAAACCACCCTGGGTTATGAATCAGTCTTTCAAGAGCTTTCACCTAGTGTGGATTTTTAGCCATGTCTCAATCAGACCACCCTTGAGTAAACTGACCATCAAAGTTCTGGACCTAAGAGCTGAGAAGCCAAACCTTGGAAGTAATGATGCTTGGATAAAAACCACAAAGCCATGCTTACTCATACATCCTTTCACTCACCAGGGCTCTGGCCTACGTGTTTAGTAACATAGACTAAGGAATGACAGGTTAACTTTTTTCTTTATAACACAGCTACAAAAAGATGGAACAGAGAAAATGGGGTAGACAATGTATCTGGATTTCAGGAAGACATGTAACAAAAACGGAAGCCATTACACCTGTGATTAATGAATCAGAAACATCCTCTTCCAGAAAAGTCTACGTGAGGGTCCTAAGTCTACGTGAGGGTCCTATGCAGGTCCAGGAGAACTGGGGATTCTGAGAAATTAGGACAGACGTGCACTAGGAACAGAAGAAAGAATCGTACCTACTGGAATGCACTCAGGCCAAGCCACAAACTGGAAATCAGAGTTAAGCCCAGGTTCTCCCTACCCCCCCTACTGCTCAGAACCTCTCTATTCCAAGTATGGTACTCAGCCAGCAGCAGCCACTGCCCAACCCCCTGCCCCCGCCCCCACCAGAGCTGGTTAGACATGCAGAATCTCAGGCTCCACACCTCAAATCTAACAAATCAAATCTTCATTTTAACAAGATATCACCTATGCCCATTAAGTTTGGGAAGCACCAACTTAGGAGAGAAAGGAGTCTTTCCGGTTTCTGCCTTCCCCCGTGGT
The DNA here is from genome assembly GCF_000001405.40 of Homo sapiens. Classification (NCBI taxonomy): domain Eukaryota; kingdom Metazoa; phylum Chordata; class Mammalia; order Primates; family Hominidae; genus Homo; species Homo sapiens. The sequence goes on from NC_000017.11 coordinate 9,409,254, forward strand.
GCCTGCAGGCGTAGAAACTAGGCAAACACCTGGTGTTTAAAGCTGTCTAGATAGTAACAGAATCATTTGTATACTATGAAAGTGCTAAGGAGAATCTGGCAACTATGTATCTTCTGGAAAAGGCACTGATTCCAGGACACTCAATTATGTCTTAGGAGCTTGATTTTGGAGTTAAATGAGAAGAATACAGCATGAATCACGGATTTCCCTTTATAGCCGCCTATTTTATTTAAACAAAAAATGCTAAACATTAATTTTAGTTGTACTTAATTGAATAATTTCTCAGGGGAATCGTTCAGGGAGAGTTTAAAACTGCCTGTTTCCAAAAGCCATTACAAATTGGCATATACTATTATGTCACTGTGCCAACCAAAACAGCACACTTTAATGTCCCTGAGGCCGCCTTCGCTCCAGATGTGTTCAGAACTCCTAGTAATGTAATGCAGGCAAAAACCATATTTACATGAAGTCGTGTTTTGAATATCCTTTTCCAATTATCTGGAATGAGATAATAGATCCCTAATTGGAAGCACTGGGGGGAAAAAAAGCCAGGTCAGTGGTTCCTCCCTTGTGAATGCTTTTATTAGTGAAAACTAAAACAGTCTGTACAAAAGTAAGAGAAATCTCCTTTGCCACAGTTAATCATCGGAACATCTATAAACTTAGAAACTGCCCTATGGTCACCTCTAATTAGCCAGCTGATTTTTAAAAGATTGATCTTGTCTTTTCCTATGAATCGTAAGTACGAAAGGATTGGGGGTGGGGGAGGGAGAAATGGAATGCAAGGGCAAGAAATCCAAAAACTGCTTTGGCAAGAGAACAGACAAATGCGATGGCTGTACAGCTGTTGCTCCCTCCACCTTCATCCCACCCAAATATCTTCCACTCTGTTTCATGCTTGCATGAATGGCATGGATTCTGAATTTCTCTTTTATTCCTGACTAATGATGGTCATAACATCACTACCAGATAAGTCATCATTGCTTATGATTGAGTTAATTTCTATTTCAAATTATATCTGCTGATAAAGAATCATCTGTTTATTCTCAAAGCATGTATAAGTAAAAATTAAATAGCAAATTTTACACTTTTTGCTAAAATTGTACGTTTCCTTCCTTAACATTCATTATCTAATAGAGCTTAAATTTAAGTCAAATAAGTGTTTTTGTACAAATCGGCATTTCTCTTCCATTACAGTGGAGACTGGCTCCCACACGTCATAAAACGCGGTAACGTGCCATGCAATCAGGCACGCTCAGTTACTGGAGTTGTCTATCTTCACAGATGTCACAGAGAAGCCATCTGAAAAGCTACGCATAGTGCAGCTGTTCTTGGCTGTTAGCAAGATAAACTTGGAAACCTTGATCTTTCAAATGTTCAAAATCGGAATGGGTTTTCCAAATATAAATTAATTACCAAATTCCATGTGTTGACAAGCAAACACTCTAATGTTTACGTTTCAACTTGACAAAAGAAATGTAAGCATATTATCCATAAACTTCTAAAAGAAACAAACTCCATGTATTAACTTCATTACATTTTTTTCCTAAAATGTTTAAAAACATTATCATGAAATGTAACATACGAAGAGAAAAGCAAAACTTATGTGTACAGTTTAACAAATGATTACAAAGCAAAACCACGTAGTCTCAAAAAATCTCAACTCATTTACTCAATGGGCAATCAACAAACATTTACAATACACCAGGCACTGTGTTAGGTGCTAATTTGAACACTTAGGAAGTATTACTTGTTAGCATTATTTGCTCAAATAACAACCACTGCAAAGTCCATAATTCTTACCTACCTGTGTTTCAAGGCAAACAAATATATACTTTATCATGTGGACAAGGAGCATTTTCCTCCAATAAATCTACCCTAGAGGTTTGTACTCTTGGGATACTTAACAATATATCACTTCTGAAAGGACCACAAGAAAGTGCTTGGTGGTCAGTAACACCCAGATGTGAACTTTTCTCTCTGACCTATACTAGCAGTGAATGATGTTCTCAATGTCTCTCTGATTAACCCTTGAATTCAGGCCTCTTCCTCCAGAACAAAGGCTTCCCCACTTGGGAGCTGCTTAGAACTTTCCCAAGCACCTTGCAAAGTGTCTTATTTTTCATACTGTGCTTAGATCTGAAAAAAGCCTTTGTTGTAGCATGAAGACTCTAAAATCCCTGGCTATAAAACGAATGTTCTCAACACCAGGAAAAACACAGTCCATAGCTTTGCTTTAAGAGAAATTGTTTTGCCTAATTAATCACAAAGTTTTCAAGTAAACTTGGTTTGTAAAATTCTCAAAAGCAGTTCAGCTGTTTCCAAATTGCACATCGGAAAATTCCTATGTTACATAGTCCGGGATAATCAATGTTAAAACAATATACATAACAGGATCGTTTCCTCACTAGGTTCCATTTCTGTCAGGAAGGGAGGGAGAATTTTAAGCCAAAATCGTAATTCAAGCCAATAATCTGCAAACTTGGGTGTACAAGATGATTCACTGGAATGTGGAAAGAAAATACTAAAATTTCCATTAATATGCTGCATTTACTTCTTAATCTCTCAGCCTTTTTAGAAGCAACCTAATATATAGAACAGTAGTATATATAATTTTTCAGATACAATTATAAAAATATTCGAGAGGGTTGCTCATAATTCCTACTAATGGGATGCATGATCTAAAAATGTTGGAAGTCACTGTACTAAAAGTGGTATAGACAAGCTATAAAAGAATACAAGTACATGGAACTCAAAAGTCTCAAAAGTTAAATATCTTTGTCATTATTCAATTAAATATTAAAGTCCTAGTAGTAAAAAGTGAGTATTCAGTCAACTTGAGTTGACGGAGGATTAAAAAATACACAAATACATAGTCCAAGGAACACAGTGGTAAGATGTTAATATTAGGGAAACTAGGGTGAGGGAAATAAGAAAGCTCTTTGCATTATTTTTGCAACTTTTCTATAAATCTAAAATTGGTTCAAAATCAACACTTAAAGTGACTTGTAACTAATCACAGCAGCAATTTTTTTTTTTTTTTGAGACGGAGTTTTGCTCTTGTTGCCCAGGCTGGAGTGCAATGGCACAATCTCAGCTCACTGCAACCTCTGTCTCCCAGGTTCAGGTGATTCTCCTGCCTCAGCCTCCCGAGTAGCTGGGATTACAGGCATGCACCACCACACCCAGCTAATTTTGTATTTTTAGTAGAGACAGGTTTTCTCCATGTTGGTCAGGCTGGTCTCAAACTCCCGACCTCAGGTGATCCGCCCATCTCGGCCTCCCAAAGTGCAGGGATTACACGCGTGAGCCACCACACCCGGCCTCACAGGAGCAAATTTTGAAAATTATTTTAAATAAAGCAGAGTGGAAGTTACCCTAAAATGGAAGTTACTCATGTGCATTCCCCCACACCCAGGCTCTCCATCCTATGCCATAGATCACCATAACTGATGTGCCCTCGACATTATCTCAGAGCCCTCATTCCCTTCAGCATTTAAGAGTTTCTGTCAAAATACATATTTGTTCACAGAGTGCTCTCTGCATGTAAATATAATTCGTCTTTAGAGTTCTGATAGAAGATGATAAAAATAGGTTGAGAACTGCTGAACTATAGATTGAGGGGTGTAGAGGAAGTAGAGAAAGGACGTAATCAAAGAAAAAAATCATGAGAATTTCCGAACATGATTAGATGTTTGCTTTAGGAAGAAAAGTTGCAATAGGACAAAGGGTGCCTATTTAATAGTAACTGGACACTATGTGTTAGGCATTGGGCTAAGTCCTAGATGTATAAGAATGACTGACTGATGGAGATACAACCCTGACCCTCAAGAAGCTTACTAGAGAAAAAAATACCAGAAAGGAGGCTGTGCAATAGCACTGAGATGTAACAGGGAGCTGAACTAGGCCAGTGGTGGAAGACCGGCCAGGAGCAACACCAGGGAGCAGAACTCACCCAATCTGTTATGAGTAGGAAATTCTTTGCTCACAGGCAGACTGACCAGGGCTAAGTGGGTCTTTTCACTGGAGACAGAGAGAATGGCAGTTCAACACCCCTACTCTGTTATTGCACATCAACTGGCAAGCACTGCCCAAAGGTAAAATGTGGACAGAGAGGCCAACAACCTAGGCTGGTAGCTGGGGGACATGGAGCTGTGATTCTTGGGAATTCTTAGGAACACAGCTGTGAACGTAAAGGAGACCTGTTTCTCAAGACTTGTAGGTTATTTACATTTGTGCACCCAGAAAAGGGCTTCCTGAGCATCAGATTGTAATTGCACAGATAGGAGCTAAGGGTTTTCAATGGTAGCCTTTATCTCTCCATTGTTTTTCCCCCTAGTCATATCTACCTCAGATCTAAAGAAACAAGCTTCAATCCTTGAGAAACTACTGCCAAGCTTCCAGTGTTTCCACTACCCCAACACTATGTATATCCACAGAATAAATAGGTGAATACAAAGAAGCCAGAGAACAAGGGCTTCTGAGTGAAAGTGGGGCCAAGTGTAACTGTGAGAAGCTGACTGCCAACACAGATGGAGGGCTGTGCTCGTGTATACCTCAACGGAAAAAAACTTGCAGGGACAGCCACAAATATATGTACGTATGTAAGTATGTATGCATCTATCGATCCATCCATCGATCCATCCATCCATCCGTCCATCTAACCGTCCATCCACCCATCCGCCCACCCACCTATCCACTCAACCATCCACCTATCTATCCAACAAATCATCCATCCACCCACCTACCCATCTGTCCATCCATCCATCCATCCATCCAACCATCTATCTGCCCGTCCGTCTGTCCATCCATCCATCCACCCATCTGTCCATCCATCCATCCATCCATCCATCCATCCATCCATCCATCCATCCAACCATCCATCCATCCATCCATCCATCCATGAAAGCAAATGCCAGCATCCAAGAGGTGGCGAAAATCCAGCACAGACTCCTGAGTGAAGGTAAGTGGTAGCTACAGAATTTCCCTAAGAAAGGCACAGAGCATCAGTCAAATTGGAGGGAAAGGGCTGGAACACTGCTTCTCAAACTCTCTGTGGTGCAGAACTTTTTTTTTTTCATTTTCAATGTGTCACAGACAAAAGCTTTTGCAAAATACAACAAAAATGATTTACTAGGAAAATTAAATTTTTAAGCCCATTAACAGTATAACTGGATGTCATGGCAACACCAAATGTTATAAAAGTCTGAATTCTTATTCTCAATGTCATACTTACCTCATTGCAAACTGGTAACAAACAGCTCAAGGACAGGCACTTGTCTCATAACCATGCTTTGGGCTAGGGGACTTGTGTGAAGTCGAGTTGACAGAGTAAACTGTCTGAGGTACTCAGTGAGAACTAAAGCTGACACCCAGGTGTCACAGGGTGAGACCGCTCTACCCAGGGTCAACCACAAGAACCAGTCAGGCACAAATCTGTTTGTGTCTGTTTTGGGTCTTCTTTCTCACCCAGTCACAAAACACAGCTTTTGATACTTGCTTTGTTTGGAAACTGATACCTGAGTTCTGCTTTTTTTTTTTTTTTTTTTTTTTTGAGTTGGAGTTTCTCTCTTGTCATCCAGGCCGGAGTGCAGTGGCACCATCTTGGCTCACTGCAACCTCTACCTCCTGGGTTCAAGCGATTCTCCTGCCTCAGCCTCCCGAGTAGCTGGGATTACAGGCACCCGCCACCATGCCCAGCTAATTTTTGTATTTTTAGTAGAGATGGGGTTTCACCATGTTGGCCAGGCTGGTCTTGAACTCCTGACCTCAGGTGGCCCACCCGCCTCGGCCTCCCAAAGTGCTGGGATTATAGGTGTGAGCCACCACGCCCGGTCTGCCTGAGTTCTGCATTCCACCCCATCCCACAGCCTGAGGAAGGACAATAGGCCTCAACACACAGTTGTAACAAGGTTGGTGGACAACAGCCTCTTTTTCTAGCATCTTCAAACCTCTTTTCCTTTCTCCAGGCACCTTTCCTTCTGCCTTTAAACACATCAGCCTGGGGTCCTCTCCTTGTGTCATAAACTAATTATAAAATGAAACCTCAAGATCCTTCACTTGATGTTGACGCCCTCCCTAGTTTTCTCCTGTGTTAGTTTGCACCTTTCTTTCATTAACAAGTTCCTGGTATCTGTAGCCTCAAATAAGGTCCTAGAACCTGGCTTCTACTCTACATACTCTAGTGAACCCATCAATGACCCTGGGACATGACTGTTACAAAAGCAATGGCTTTTCGGCGGGTGCGGTGGCTCACTCCTGTAATCCCAGCACTTTGGGAGGCCGAGGCGGGAGGATCACAAGGTCAGGAGATTGAGCATCCTGGTTAACACAGTGAAACCCCATCTCTACTAAAAATACAAAAAATTAGCCGGGCGTGGTGGCAGGCGCCTGTAGTCCCAGCTACTCAGGAGGCTGAGGCAAGAGAATGGCGTGAACCCGGTAGGTGGAGCTTGCAGTGAGCCAAGATTGCGCCACTGCACTCCAGCCTGACTGACAGGGCAAGACTCCGTCTCAACAACAACAACAAAAAGCAATGGCTTTTCTTCTGTATCATCTTATCCAGCTTCTTCATGGCTTTTGAAATAGGCTGTTCACCCAGCCTTTGAAACTCTCATCTACAAATCCCAAAATAACATACTAACCCATTTCCAGCTTCTATGCTGGCATCCCTTCTTCTTTTGGAGTTTTCTCACGTCTTTGCCCTGGCTGCTCTTGCTTGTAACAGTAATGAGTTCTCCTGGATTTATTTACAACTTTATAATGAACCCCACTTGGGCCACTCCAGGCAGTCATTTCCCTTGAGTTCTCATTCCCTATCTCCAAGTGTCTCCAGAGCTGTGCTGACGTGAAGGTTTCCTGTTACCTTACACCTGCTTCTCAGCCCTGGTTGCACATTAAAAGCATGTGGGTTATTTTAAGTCATACCTTACCTAGGCTTCATTCTCAGAGATCCCAACTTAATTGGACTAGGGTGAAACTGCCTTGCAAAGATGATGACATCGAGAGAAATGTAGCATGGCTGACTCCATCCTGCTTCTAGCCTCTCAGGCTGGCTGTCCTTTGCTCAGTCCTGGACACAGGCCAAATTAACTATGGGAGGAATTTAGTTTGTAGTTTAATTTTTTTTTTTTTAAGATGGAGTCTCGCTCTGTTGCCCAGGCTGGAGTACAGTAGCACGATCTCAGTTCACTGAAACGTCCACCTCCCAGGTTCAAGCAATTCTCTGCCTCGGCCTCCCGAGTAGCTGGGATTACAGGCACATGCCACCACGCCCGGCTAATTTTTGTATTTTTAGTAGAGACGGGATTTCGCCATCTTGGCCAGGCTGGCCTTGAACTCCTGACCTCGTGATCTGCCCACCTTGGCCTCCCAAAGTGCTGGGATTACAGATGTGAGCCACCACGCCCGGCCTGCAGTTTAATTTTTAAGCCAGGATAATAGTTATTCCCTAAAACAAACCCCCTCCTTGCTCAGGGACTGAAACCACCTTTGAAAAAAAACTAATGAAATCCCATGAGATTAGGATTATGCAAGGGGCTTGAATTCTGCTAAAATGTACACAGTTAGAGGATAACCAGCCAGTGTTTTGGAGGTCACAAGATTTCTAACTACCCCAATTGTTCCTATAGATAACATCATTATTGTAGAAGTCAAGATTGATCTTTTGAGATGTTTTTTCAGATTTTTCCATTCTGGCAACCAACTGCCTTGACCCAGACCTGTGACTCATGACTCAGCGGGTCCTGTGGCCCCCTACCCAGAGGCTGACTCAGTGCACACAGACTGTTTTCCACACCCCTATGGGTTCCTCTCCAGCCAATCAGCAGCACCCATTACTTAGGCCCCTGCCCACCAAACTATCCTTGAAAAACCAAGCTTTCTGGGAAGCTGATTTGAGTAATCAACTTCTGTCCTTCTGCTTGGTTAGCTCTGCATTAAACTCTTTCTCTACTGCAATAACGCTGTCTCAGTGAATTGGTTTTGTCTGTGTAGTGGGCAAAAAGAACACGTTAGATGATTACAGAGTTAGGGCCAAAGCTTTAGTATATTTTTTTCCTTTAATGCTAAGCCTATAAAACCATTGCCAAGGAACGATTTTTCTCAAAGTTAGATGCACCCTGGAATCACCTAGAGGAGCTTTAAAATTACAGATGCCCGTTTCCTACTCCCAGAAATTCTGATTTAGTTAGTTGGGGTATAATAAAAAATCTATTTGTCTTTGTCCCCAGTTCCTGGCACAAAGCTCCTAAAACTCTTGTGATTTCCTTACTAATAGGAGTGTCTTTTGTTATTCATAAAAAACCCCTTGTTAAGCCCCTAGCATAAACATATCTGAGTTTATGCTAATGAGGTGACCCTCAGTGGGGCCCTAGATAGCTTCAGGATGGGGACTGGTCTCCAGAAGGAACCAACCATGTGATTACAGAGTTGGAACTCTTAGCCCCCAAACCCAACCTCTGAGGTGGTGAGACAAACTGGAGACTGATGTCAATCACAAATGGCCAACGATGTAATCAATCATGCCTATGTAATGGAACCTCCACGAACACCCCTAAATGATGGGACTCAGAGAGCTTCTGAGTAGGCAAATGCATCCCTGTGCCAGAAGGGGGTTGCATGCTCACTCCACGGGGACAGGAGCTCCTGTGCTGGGGACACTTCTGGACCTTGCCCTAAGTGCCTCTTCATCAGGCTGTTCCTTGCATCCCTGGTAACAAAATAGTACAGCATTTTCCTGAGCTCAGTGAGTTGTTCTAGCAAATCATCAAACTTGGTAGAAGATTGTGGGAACCTCCAGTTTGTAGCCACGTTGGACAGAAGTGTGGGTAAACTGGAGACCCAGTGCTTGCAGCTGGTATCTGAAGTAAGGGCAGCCTTGTGAGACGGAGCCCTTCAAACTGTGGAGTCTGATGCTAATTAGAGCCAGAATTGAACCAGACTGTAGCACAGCCAAGTGGTGGCAAGGAATCAGAGACGTGGTATTGGAAAAGTCCCCATATATTTGTTGTCAGGAGGGAAAAACCTCTGATTGGTATAGGGTGCAGCCCAGACATCAGGCATCAGGATTTTAAAACTCTCAAGGTGATTCTAATAGGCAGTGAAAGTCGAAAACTAACAGTAAGTGTGGGATACATCCCCATTAGGAGATGGTTCTAACAACATGCCAGCAGAGACAATCTAAGAGGATTTATTCAAGAAATTAAAGGCAAAGGACTTTCTCCTCAGAGAATGCCCTTTTACCATGTTCTTTCCGTTTTTCTAAAAAAAAAAAAAAACAAAAAAAAAAACAAGGCTGGGTGCAGTGGCTCACGCCTGTAATCCCAGCACTTTAGGAGGCTGAGGCAGGCGGATCATGAGATCAGGAGATCGAGACCATCCTGGCTAACACGTGAAACCCCGTCTCTACTAAAAATACAAAAAATTAGCCGGGCGTGGTGGCGGGCGCCTGTAGTCTCAGCTACTTGGGAGGCTGAGGCAGGAGAATGGCATGAACGTGGGAGGTGGAGCTTGCAGTGAGCTGAGATCACGCCACTGCACTCTAGCCTGGGCGACAGAGCAAGACTCCGTCTCAAAAAAAAAAAAAGGGGGGGGGGAAGGGGGAGGGAGAGGAACATTTGAGAATGAATGCTTTCATTTTTTGCCCACACCCCCCCCTCTTTTTTTTTCTTTTTTTTTTTTTTTTAAAGAGATGGGCTCTCTCCCTGTCACCCAGGCTGGAGTGCAGTGGCACCATCACAGTTCACTACAGCCTCAACCTCCTGGGCTCAAGCAATCCTCCCACTTCAGCCTCCTTAGTAGCTGGGACTACAGACCTGTGCCATCATCCCTAATTTTTTTCAAAAATTGTTTTGTAGAAATAGGGGTCTCACTATGTTGTTCAGGCTGGTCCAGAACTCTTGGCCCCGAGTGAGCCTCCTGCCTCAGCCTCCCAAAGTCCTGGGAGTAGAGGTGTGTATCACCATGCCCAGTTCGTTATTTTATTTAAAAAATTTTTCTTAGACACAGGGTCTCACTATGTTGAGATCGCCCAAGGTGATCTCAAACTCCTGGCCTCAAGTGATCCTCCCACCTCAGCCTCCCAAGTAAGCTGGGACTGTATAGGCATAAGCCACCATTAATTGCTTTGATTTAGAATTAATGGTTTTTAATTTACCTTATAAGAGGCCAATTAAAATCAATCACCTTTTTAACAAGGTGTGTTTTGGGGAGTGGACTACAGATCCCAGAAAATACATGGAACCAGTTGGATCATTCACAAGAGAAGGGTGGAAGTTGAATTTCAACAGCAAAAAGGACAACAAATGGGAGGTAGATATTAAGTATCGAGAATGCTCTATCTGGGAATTCCAACAGCTTCTTACATTGCATGGTGAAAACCTTTCTGTTAGCAGAGTTGGTCACTGGGTCCATGAACGGTCACGGCCTCAGGATGAGGCCCCAAACTTAACCTCCACTGAGAAGACTGTGTTTCCTGAGCCCATAGAGCTCTATTTTGCTCTTATGGACCTGAATTTTACTTAAAACAAACAAAACAGGTGGTGAGAAGAGTGAGCAGAAATACATATCCAGTCTAACTGCAGAATCCCATAAGATTCACGGAAACTTCAGAGGAAATAGGAAATTATCTGTGTAGAAACCTTTTCTTTTGGCATAGGCTAACTTTTCAGTAATTGTGTAAAAGTTACCCTCATTGTTCATTTGACTAAACTACTGTGGTTTATTGTGCAGTGGCGTTAAACTATCAAGAATCAATCTGCTGAACCCACTTAAACCCATTCTGTAATATTAGTGTTGGGCTGTTTAGATGAATTAGTCACACATCTCACAGTCTCTCTTACAACATTCTTGGTGAAAAATTAGAAAAGCATGAGCTCAATGTGTATTCTTAGATGGGTAACCCCATGGCACAGGGACCGCACTCAGGAAATATTCGTTGACTGAAGGAGTCCTGAGAACTCATCAATCATATTCAACATCGGCCGCCAGGGACTCAGAAATCCTTGCCCACAGCAGCGGCCCTGAACCTCTGCAGTTCTCTTAAGCCCGTGGCTCCACAGCCACCTCCCTTTTTCTCAGCAGGTGTTCTCATCAATTATTTCCTAAAGGGCACGACTCCGCCAAGTTAGCTCTCTTCCTTCGACCAGTAACCTTACCTATAGGTGCCTATCAGTTCCATTCTAAATGTCCCCTCTCCTTCTCCAGGGAGGACCCTCGCCTATCTGCTGCCACCGTGGCCCGCCCACAGCACTTTCCCGCATCTTCACCTTCTCGGTTCTGGCCTGTTTCTCAGTCCATAGACATGCTCCAACCCCTCCCTTCTATTAAACCAGCCTTCATGCTCATGCTTACTAAGCTTCCTTCTTCCTTTCAACACCAACCTTCTTGAGAGGTTAAGTCTACAATTCTGCCCCCACAACTTGAATCCTCATACACTCACAACCCACTACAACTGAGCTTGAGGCGCGATTATTACGGGGACAGTGTTCCTGCCGAGGTCATCAGTGACTTACTGGAAAATTCCAATGGCTTATTTTCAGTCTTCCGTCTATTGATGAGAGTTTGCACTCTCGTTTTATCCAACCAGAAGAGAGTCTCTCAACTTAGAATTGTGGACGGTCATTTTCATAGGCAACATTTACGTGCATGTGCCTTTAAGTACATTAGGGGGTGGAAATGGAGATGAGTCCCATTGTTCCACCAGTTTCTCAGCGGGCTCTCTGACCTCCCTTGAAATGAAGAAACGCAACTGGACTATTGCAATAACCTCCAAATTCGTTTCCCCAACTTGAGTCCTTGGATCTCAATCCTATACCTATCCCTAATCTAACCTTTGCATTACTATAGAATTTTTTTTGGCTGGGCACTGTGGCTCACACCTGTAATCCCAGCACTTTGGGAGGCCGAGGCGGGCGGATCACCTGAGGTCGGGTGTTTGAGACCAGCCTGACCAACATGGAGAAACTCCGTCTCTACTAAATATACGAAATTAGCCGGGCATGGTGGCGCATGCCTGTAATCCCAGCTACTCGGGAGGCTGAGGCAGGAGAATCGCTTGAACCCGCGAGGCAGAGGTTGCAGTGAGGCGGGATGGAGCCACTGCACTCCAGCCTGGGCAATAAGAGCAAAACTCCATCTCAAAAAAAAAAAAAAAAAAAATTTTTTTTTTTTTTTTTGCAGATTATATAGGCCAGAGCAGGCATGCCTTCTCTTGCTGTAAATAAGGTTTATAATACAATGTAGCAGAATACAGCCATGCTTATGCCTTTACATGGTGACCCTGGCTGCTTTATCCTTTCCCCTGCTCCTGGGAGTGAACTAGGTGTTCTTTTATTGAGGTGAAATTCAGATAACATAAAATTGGCCAATTTAAACTGAACAAGTCAGTGGCATTTAGTACATCTGCAACACTGAACAATCACCACCCCTATCTAGTTTCAAACTCTTCTTTCCTCACTCCAAAAGGAAACCCATACCACTTAAGCAGCTGCTCCCCATGGCCGCATGACATGGTTTGGCTCTGTGTCCTCACCCAAATCTCATGTCGAATTGTAATCCCCACATGTTGAAGGAGGGGCCTGTTGGGAGGTGACTGAATCATGGGGGTGAACTTCCCCCATGCTGTTCCAATCGAGTTCTCACAAGATCTGGTGGTCTGAAAGCGGAGCACCTCCCCCTTTGTTCTCTCTTCCTCCTGCTCCGGCCATGTAGGACGTGCCAGCTTTCCCTTTGTCTTCTGCCACGATTCTAAGCTTCCTGAGGCCTCGCCGAGCCATGCTTCCTGTAGAGCCTGTGGAACCATGACCCAATCAAACCCCTTTTCTTTATAATTTACCCAGTCTCGGGTAGTAGTTTTTTTTTTTTTTTTGAGACAGAGTTTCACTCTTGTTGCCCAGGCTGGAGTGCAATGGCGCGATCTTGGCTCACTGCAACCTCTGCCTCCTGGGTTCAAGCAATTCTCCTGCCTCAGCCTCCCCAGTAACTGGGATTACAGGCGTGTGCCACCACACCTGACTAATTTTTGTATTTTTTTAGTAGAGACAGGGTTTCACTGTTTTGGCCAGGCTGGTCTTGAACTTCTGACCTCAGGTGATTTGCCCACCTCGGCCTCCCAAAGTGCTGGGATTACAGGTGTGAGCCACCATGCCTGGCCAAGGCCGTCTCAGGTAGTTCTTTACAGCATGTGAGAACGGACTAATACACCCCTCTCCCTAGTTCCTGGCATCACCAATCTGAATTACGGCTCCATGGATTCGTCTGTTCTAGATATTTCATAAAAATGGAATCATACAATATGTGGCCTTTTGTGTCCGGCTTCTTTCACTTGGCAGGATGTTTTCAAGGTTCATCCGTGTTGTTCCATGTGTCAGTATTCATTCCTATTTATGGCTGAATAACATTCCATTGTATGGATATGCCACATTCTGTTTCTGCAGCAATGGCTGCTTTTGCACTGTAACTGCAATGGTGAATAGCTGCAACACAGATCACACGGCCTGGCCCACAAAGCTTACTATCTGGCCCTTTGGTGACAAGGTTCGCTGACCCCTAGTTTATACCATCTACCTTCAGAAGTGGCGATTTTCCAAATCAGCTTGTATTAATGATCACTGAAGCGCTGTTTAGGGAAGAAAAATGCTGGACATAAATGTCTGTCATTAGAGGACTGGTTAAATTACAGCAAACACATACTACGTAATACCATGCAGCTCCTCAGAAGAATCAGGTAAATCTGTACGTGGTGATAAAGAAGCATCTCTGGGATTAATTAGGCTAAAAAAGCAAAAGCATGCAATGCATGTAGTATATATTCCTTTCCCCTTAAAAAATAACCCATAAATAAGTGCATATATACATATCTGGGTAACACTTTCCCCAGAATCAAAAGAAACGTTCACTTTTCATTTTGTACCTTTCTGCACTATCTGTAATTCCTAACCTTAAATATGCATTTCCTTATTAGCACTGTCAATAAGTGTTAGCTAAATGAGGAAACTATGGTCTGTTTTCTTCTTAATAAGTCTGTTTTTAGAAGTAATAATGAGGAAGCAATCTAATAAACGTTATTTTTTGTTGTCGTTGTTTTTTGAGACGGAGTCTCTCTCTCTGTCACCCAGGCTGGAATGCAGTGGCACGATCTCAGCTCACTGCAACCTCTGCCTCCCGGGTTCAAGCAATCCTCCTGCCTCAGCCTCCTGAGTAACTGGGATTACAGGCATGCGCCACCATGCCCAGCTAATTTTTGTATTTTTAGTAGAGATGGCGTTTCACCATGTTGTTAAGGCTGGTCTCAACCTCCTGACCTTGTCATCCGCCCGCTTCAGCCTCCCAAAGTGCTGGGATTACAGGTGAGAACCACCGTGCCCGGCCAAATGTTATGTTTTTAAGGAAGAAAATTCAAAGCAAAATGCTATGTTGAAAACTGACATGAGTTATGTCTTTTTATGAGCTTTCAATTACTTTATTTTCTTACCCTTGCAGGTCAGTGATCCTCCAAAGATAAAAGAAAAACACTGTGCCACAGGTTAGAATTTTTTCTGCCAGAAAGCTAGACACTGCACCAGACCATCTTTAAAGACGCCGTCCATATCAGTCACGGGCTGAGTTGCAATCCTAGTTTTCCGCTGATTATTACTGAGAAGCATACCACATCTGTCAGCCACAGGACACTGCAAATCTTCTACTGCCACAGAGTTCAGTATGGCAGTGACTTAGGCTTCGGCACACAAGTCAGCCATGACAGGTTGGTTTGTAGGGTTTATCTACGCATTCTGATGGTCCCTACACATTTTCCAGATGTGTTGACCTCATAAAACTGCCACCTACCCCAGGCTGTGAAAGAACTGCTCCAACCATATTTTTCCCACCCCTCAACTCTAGCAACACCTTGGGTTCCCTGGCTGGGCGACCCCCTAAGATATGAAGCTGGGTTGGCTGTCAGTCCTGAGCCCTGACAAGAGAATAACAGCAGGGTGGCCGGGCAGCCAGGCATTTTTGCATCCGCCCAGTGCTGGGAACTGACGCATTCCTCGTTCCCTGGGGCCTAAGGTTCTGCTTGGTTTTGGGTCCCTGCAAGATTGGGGCCCTGCCTACTTTCTCAACCAGTTTATCCTTCAACCCTCTCCCTCAGGCCCCAAAAGTTGCTGCTGAAGGTCCCTGTCAACAGGCAAACAGTCAACCCACTACAGACACTCACTCACCCTGCCTCCAGGCCCTCTCTCTGCCTGGGGCCTCGTGTTACACCTGCCTAAAGTGCAGCGCCTGGCCTTCCTCCCCCTGCCTCTGGTTAGGATCTCCATTCTCCCTCGATCCCCTCTTCTTCCACTGTGACACTCTGGTTTCCAGATCCTTATTCCTCTTCCCTCCAGGTCATGCCCTGGCCCATTCTTGATCAACTTCGAGTTACAGAATCAGCTCTCTCATACAAGCATTCTGAACAGGTCACTGGGGTATGGTAGATACTTGTAGTATATTTTCTTCAAAAAGTTACAAACAGATTTAACTGAGGAATCAATCCAAAATCGAGAATATCATCTTTCTTGGTGCTGCCTAGGTACAAAGCACTTTGTATATCTTCCGAGGATGCAAAGATATGACAGTCCCCTTCCCTTAAGGAGTTTGAAATTTAGTAGAGAAAAAACAAATTCAGAAATAACTATAAATCATCCAAAGCAAAGAATACCATGTAACACAAGAGAGGTTAAAAGTGCCAGAGTGTAGAGGATGAAGAGATCATCTCCAATTGGGGAAACTCAGGAAAAGATTCATGAATGAGGCAGCACCTGTGGCTGATACTGATGAATGACCAGGATTTTTATGGGGTAGGACAGAGGCCACAGTTTCTGACTAAGAAAAAGTATATTTTTCAAATCTTCTATATTAAATAATGAGCAAATCTGGCCTCTTGTCAATATGTTCTTTCTAATCAGCTGGCTTTTTGTCTGAAACACTACATTATATCACCCAACACTGTACAGAGAAAGAATGCCTTCTAGGTAGTCATCGTTCAACAAAATCTCAGTAACGTCACAAAAATCTCAATACTTCAGATTTACAAAAATCTCAATAACTTATCACACATGCTCCTGTCCAGGTTCATTCATTTTAATCATATAATACATGATGATTTATTTGTATTTATAAATTATGTATACTGTTAATATCTGAATGGTAAATGACATGATTCTTTTGATTGTCATTAAAATAAAGAGGTACACCTGAAGCAAGGTGGGGGCACTCCACTTAATAATTGCACTTAATGATAATCGCTACCAGCTATTGAGCTACTGAGCACGACACGGACTTTAAATATTATCACTCAAAAGGTTTTCATGGTGAAAAGCAAACCATGTAAAAAATGTTCATTACAATCCATCATGATCAAAATTTCAATGTGTTAAGATGTTATCTTCAGTAATAGTTGCAAAATAATTGCGGTACAGCATTTAGTTCTTTCTTCCAGTTAAGTGACAGGCAAACTGTACAGCTTCACAGGTTCTACTAAGCACGGACGACAATCTGAAATAGTCCACTAATGTCCCTCCAAGCTCAGATCCCTAGCACATATTGGAGTTAGGGACTTCAGCCCAGGCCAGAGAAAAGCTCAGTACACACATCTAAAGGCTTGGACGTCTACAGATGAGCCAGTCTCAATCTCTCTCTTGCACGCACGTATGCACGCGCACACACACACAGCTGAAACATGGCTCCAAAGTCCCATCCTTCATCCTATAATAACTGTCTCTCTCTTCTCAAGTAGGATCAGCCAACCACTAAAAAGCACCCTGTTAATTAGAACCTAGACAATCTGTCTTTAATCTGATACAATGCCTAAGTAGCCCAAAAATGCTGAATTTCAACGTTTTGAAGGATTTATTCTATGCTAATAAAGAACTGGGGGCCAAGTGTGGGGGCTCACACCTGTAATCTTAGCACTTGGGGAAGCTGAGGCAGGAGGACTGCTTAAGTGTAAGAGCTCAAGACCTGCCCAAGGCCAGGCACGATGGCTCACGCCTGTAATCCCAACACTTCGGGAGGCCAAGGTGGGTGGATCACCTGAGGTCAGGAGTTTGAGACCAGCCTGGCCAACATGGCGAAACCCTGTCTCTACTAAAAATACAAAAATTAGCTGGGCGTGGTGGTCGGCACCTGTGGTCCTAGCTACCTGGGAGGCTGAGGCAGGAGAATTGCTTGAACCTAGGAGGCAGAGGTTGCAGTGAGCCAAGATCGTGCCACTGCACTCCAGCCTGGGTCACAAAGCAAAACTCCATCTTGAAAACAATAAATAAATAAAACTAAAAACTAAAGACCTGCCTGGGCAACACAGTGAGACCTTGTCTCTAGTAAAAATTTAAAAAATTAGCCAGGCATGGTGGCACATGCCTGTGGTCTTAGCTACTCAGGAGGCTGAGGTGGGAGGATCGCTTGAGCCTGGGAGGTAGAGGCTGCAGTGACCTTATGGTTGAACCACTGCACTCCAGCCTGGGTGACAGTGCGAGACTGTCTCAAAAAATAAAGTAAAATAAAGAATGATGGTGGTAAAATTTATCCTCTGAAGATTTTCAGAGGTTTTACACTGAGCAAACAAAATAATTCAATATAAGTTATATCTTGTAAGAGACACACCTAGTATTACCAGTCTATCTCTTACTAGATATAACTTATATTACCTAGTATTACCAGTGTATCTCTTACTAGTTAAGAGATAGAAAGATAGTCTGAAATTCCCATTTTACCACTAATTACCTTTGAATTTCTGTGATTTTTATAACTACTTTCAGCTTCCCAAAGTTCACATTTCCTATTTGCTCGGTTGGAAGTAAGAGAGTTGCTATCTAGAGGCTTCTGGGTATTCCCCAATTTGCAAAGAGAATGAATTCCAAAAGTGTATTCGTGGCTTAGTTGTTCAGAACTCAAGGATGCCCAAATACATGTTCCCATAGAAATAACGTTGTATATGTGGCAGACCCGTTCCCAGGTGGCCCATGAGATCTATCACACCATGTCACAGGAGTAGCAGTCTTGATCCAGCCACACCTGATCACTATGCACAACAGTCTGAACCCGAGTCTGCTGTGTGATGCCAGGAACACGCCTCCCCAGTGTGGCAGGCAGTCACCTGGGCATCCTGAGACTTGTGTGTTGAAGGAGCAGGACAAAAATCCATGTCGGTATTTCTGCTATAATGTGATATATACATTCCTGAAAAATCTCACATCCTACAAAATCACACTTGAAAAATAACGGGATGAAAAAGGCTGTTGGGGTAGACCACTAAATCCCTCTGTAACTCTGTAACCAGAGCACTAACCAAAAGAATAATTAATACCTAGGGAGATGACTTGGACAGCCTAGGCAAGCAGCTTGGCTGTGGCTGCGGCTGCCTCGAGGGATATTAAACACACAAATGACAGAGTGGCAACTGTTGGCTCACAGACAGAGTGGAGTTCTGAGCCAGGAGCTATGTTAAGGTGGACACAGAGGGAAGATGCCTGCTGGGAGCCCAGAGTCCTAGAAGGCTAGCGGGTGCCTGTCCTGGAGAGAAAGCGCTGGGTGCAGGCACTCATTTTTAATTTTCTTAAAATAGAGTTGAAAAGCGTGTCTGCTGCCTGTGAGGTTCTTTCCTTTCTTGCTGAAGGCTGTAACTCTACTCCGGCAATTCCTGCTCCTCTGGCCAAAGAAAAACTGCTTCTGGATCAATCTAACCTCCAGGATATACTGACATCATTCCTCTGCTTTTCAGTTGAGCTGACTCGTGCTATGGACCCAAGGGCTGTAGCACACAGAACTGCACTCCTAGGACCAGTGGCTGCTGACTCCTCAGAGTTCTCACCTGGTTAGAGAAGGCCCTTTCCAAGTCTCCCATTTCTAAAAACTCTGAATCAGAGAACAGGGGGTAGTCATCCTGTGAGAGGTAAATTCTCTTGACATCCATGACAATTCAGGCAAGTCTTTTGTATTCTACTTAGTCACCAGAAATGACTTTTGTTTTGTTTTGTTTTGTTTTGAGATGGAGTCTCACTCTGTCTCCAGCCTGGTGGGCAGTGGCGCGATCTCGGCTCACTGCAAGCTCCGCCTCCCGGGTTCATGCCATTCTCCTGCCTCAGCCTCCCGAGTAGCTGGGACTACAGGTACCCGCCACCACGCCCGGCTAATTTTTTGTATTTTTAGTAGAGACGGGGTTTCACCGTGTTAGCCAGGATGGTCTTGATCTCCTGACCTTGTGATCCACCCGCCTTGGCCTCCCAAAGTGCTGGGATTACAGGCGTAAGCCACCCCGTCCGGCAAAGAAATGATTCTTAATCTCTCTTGAGGTGTGTTCACCCTGAGTGGATCAGTCTGATTTCTGGACAAGCCCTGTCTGATAGAAATGTAATGTGAACCATGTCTGTAATTATGAAAAAGTAAAAAGGAACAATGGCATATTTTATTTAACCCAATATAGCCAAATATTACCATTTCAGTATGTAATCAATATAGAAATTATTGGCAAGATATTTTGAATCTTTTTTTCTGGCACCATATCTTCCAAGTTCAGTGTTACCTTGTACTTACAGTACATCTTAATTCAGACTAGCCACATTATAAGAGCTCAATAGCTACAAGTGGCCTGTGGCTACTATAGTGGACAACACCGGTCTATTCAGAGGCTCTGTTGATAGCAAAGTGTCATATTTCTAGAGACACATAATTGAAAGAAAATGCAACCAATGAGGCACAAAACATGTTTTTCAAGTTCATAGCCCCATATTTCATGAAAGGGTACCTTTGACTTGGTCAGTTTCAGTGCAAACATATTAATCCTTAATTACCCAGAAGATTCAGTTAACCAGAACATCCCAATCCCTTACTATATACTCAGTGGGGTTTTTAAAACAGTTTTATTGAGACATAATTCACCTGCCACAAATTTACCCATTTAAACTGTATAATTACATAGTTTTTGGAATGTTATACTATTAATTTTTTAAAATTGTTTTGAGATATATATATCTAAAATGGCAAAATGGCACATTTTGTTTTATATATTATATATAAAATATATAAATACATTATTTATATATTTTTATTATATATTTTATATACATATATTTATATATAATATATAATAAATATTTATATATAACATATATTTATATATTATAAATATATAAATATATGTAAATAGGCCAGGCACGGTGGCTCACACACCTGTAATCCCAGCACTTTGGGAGGCCTAGGCAGGCGGATCATGAGGTCAGGAGATCAAGACCATCCTGGCTAACACGGTGAAACCCCATCTCTACTAAAGGTACAAAAAATTAGCCGGGCGTGGTGGCGGGCACCTGTAGTCCCAGCTACTCGGGAGGCTGAGGCAGGAGAATGGCGTGAACCCAGGAGGCGGAGCTTGCAGTGAGCTGAGATCGCGTCACTGCACTCCAGCCTGGGCGACAGTGCAAGACTCCATCTCAAAAAAATATATATTATATATTTTATATTATATTATATATTATATATATTATATTTTATATATTATATATAACATATATATTTTATATATTATATATAACATATATATTTTATATATTATATATTATATATATTATATATAATATATAATATATATTATATATATTATATATTATATAGAATATATTATATATAATATATTATATATTATATATAATATATATAATATATATTATATAGAATATATTATATATAATATATATATTATATATTATATAGAATATATTATATATAATATATATATTATATATTATATATTATATATAATATATTCTATAGAATATATATATTCTATATAATATATATATTCTATATAATATATATATTCTATATAATATATATATTTTATATATAAATAAATATAAATATAAAATATATATAATTTATATATAAAATATAAAATATATATAATTTATATATAAATAAAATATAAATTATATATAATTTATA
This sequence comes from Homo sapiens, assembly GCF_000001405.40. Lineage (NCBI taxonomy): Eukaryota > Metazoa > Chordata > Mammalia > Primates > Hominidae > Homo > Homo sapiens. Next base: position 9,430,212 of record NC_000017.11, read on the forward strand.
TATAAATAAAATATATATTATATATAAAACAATTTGCCATTTTAAAGTATATAATTCTGTGGCATTAATTACACTAACAGTGTGGTATAACCACCACCACTTATCTATTTCCAAAACTTTAAAATTATCTCAAACAGCAACTCTAACCATTATGTAATAATTCCCCATTTCCCCCTGCCCCTAGCCTCGGTAACCTCTAATCTACTTTCTTTCTCTGTGAATTTGCCTATCCTAGATATTCCATATAAGTGAAATCATACAATATTTGTCTTTTTGTATCTGGCTTATTTCAC